>NC_000012.12:42611643-42763158 GCF_000001405.40 Homo sapiens
TCACCTCTGTATCTTTATGATAAATCTCCTTCTCCTACCTTGTTTTTTTGGCTCTAGCAAGTGTGAAGTTTTCTTCTGTTGCTTCTAATCAAAAGAATCTTCACTAGTCTGCATTTGTCGAGTCAGTGTTGCAGTTGGCATTGTCACCACTCCAAGAAGCAGATGAAGATACAGAGGGGAAGAGGGAAAAGTGTAAACACACAGTTCCTCACCAAGCTGGGAAATGGGAGGTTTTCTTCTTTTTTTCTTTCACAGTCATAGACTCATTCCTTGAGGGGAAATTTGTGGCGTGTGCAAGAGGTGGGAGACCAGAGCCAAGGACTGCAAATAATAAAGAGCACGATGTAGCTACAATCAGGAAAGAAACAAGGATCTAAAAGGCAGAGTCAAAGTTGAAAGTTTCACATATGGGAATGGGCACCCAACAGAAAGATCTTGGTCTTCTTAGGCAGATAAAATGCTGAGTCTTGGGCCCCTCCCTAGGGATCTAAGGACTCAGGAATGATTTATTCTTGAAAGGCTGATTAAGATGTTTTGAAATTTGCATACTGGCATCTTTTTGCATACCAGGAAAACTAAGAGGACCTTGAAAGTGTTTTGATAATCACCACTCTCTTTTCCCCTTTTGACATGGATAATTCATATCCCATTTTCATGTGACTAATTCAAATATGATTATTATCCAAACAGAAATATTCTTGTACTTTCATTACTGGAAAATAACTTTCTGCTTGTCAGAGCCAAGTTGAGGAAAAGTCAGCATTGTCTGTTTCTCATAAAGCACATTCTTTCTCTGTCTCATGCCAAAATTCTGTCTCAGTTGGAAATAAAGTGGACAAATCTTCACTGTGGCTGATCTATAGCTTTATAAGAGAAGGAATATATTATGATTCTAACTCTGTCCTTGGGACTTGCTGTTCTGATTTCAGGTTACATGAGTAGAATATTTAAAAATCAGGGAGAGTACATATTCAGAATATGGGCATAAAATGGAAATGTTAGATAATTTTTTATTTTTGACATTAAAATGTTTTTCATAAATTAACATAAACAAAAATCACAGAATGGTTTTTACTTTTACTTAGGAAGAGCAAGGCAAATAAATGTTATTCACACATTGTATCAGGCAAAAATGCAAATGTTCTCCCCAACTAACACCATTAAAAATATTGCCTCTCACAAGTTTCTCCTGGCAAAAGTTAGTTTCAAATCTACAATTTAAATATTATGAGCCAGGCGAGGCACTGTGGCTCACGCGTATAATCCCAGAACTTTGGGAGGCTGAGGCAGGTGGATCACTTGAGGTCAGGAGTTTGAGACCAGCCTGGCCAACATGGTGAAACCTTGTCTCTACTGAAAATACAAAAAATTAGCTGGGCGTGATGGTGTATGCCTGTAATCCCAGCTACTCGGGAGACTGAGGCAAGAGAATCGCTTGAATCTGGGAGGCGGAGGTTGCAGTAAGCCGAGATTGCACCACTGCACTCCAGCCTGGGCAACAAAGCAAAACTCTGTCTCAAAAAAAAAAAATAAATAAATATTATCAGCCAGGTATGGTGGTGCATGCCTGTAGTCCCAGCTACTTGGGAGACTGAGGTGGGAGGCTGAGATGGAAGCTTGAGGCTGAGCCCAGGACTTCAAATCCAGCCTGGGCAATATAGCGAGACCCCATCTCTAAACCAATAATAACTATTATGTGCACAGGGGTGAAATACAGATGCTTCTTTCACTAATATAGGCTGCTCTGTCTTATGCTTTGTGTTAGTAGATGCATTTGAGTAGACCATATTCTGTTTTTATCTTCCTTCCCAACCTGAAATGAGCAAATGTTTCATGGGTTTTTCCTTCTCCTTTTGGTTTCCCCTCATTACACATTTTGCCAGATGGCCAAGGAGTTTCATCTGGAAAAGAATTTTCCATAATAATAGATCATTTGGTACTCACGGCCAATGATCCCACTTCCCCCTGCCATCTACAGGAACCATGGGATGGAGTAAAGTGGCAAATGAGTCATGCCTGGCAGAGCCTAGAGGAGGGGGAAAGACACAGCAAGCAAGGGGAGGCTTGGCTTGTCAAAGACCCGACCGAGAGTCCTAGGATAGTAAGAGCTGAGTGGTGTGTGTGTGTGTGTGTGTGTGTGTGTGTGTGGTGTGTGTGTGTGTGTGTGAGAGAGAGAGAGAGAGTGAACCTATGTACATCCTCAGGAGATACTGTGTGTGTAAGTATTTTGGAGTGTGTAGCTGCAGGTCATTCTGACAGATGCAGAACATGTGTGGCACAACTTTGTATGGCGAAGAGGAGGACTGGGGGAAGACAGGAACATCAATGTGCTGCAAAATGAGATGAGGCTGAGATCCTGGGTGTGTAAGCAAGGGCCTGGTCAAGGAAGCTGTAAAGAAGTGCAAGGGTAAAAGGAAAACTTCCTCTTTGTCCTCAGAAGGTTCAAATCACTCCACAAAAGGCAGGCTAATTGGAGAAAGAGTATGCTAATTTATCATTAATGTTTACATTGTAGATGGGAACACTTCAGAATGAAGACCCAACTCCCCACTGGGGTGCAGAAGCTTATATGCCATCTCAAGATGACAGAAAGAATGGGGACTTGGTGCATGGCCAAAAACAAGTTGTGATGGTAAATTGGGTTTTAGTGGCAAGACAGGTTATGGGAAGGAGAGAACAGGAGACTTGGCTAGCAAAAGTGATCTTATTATGTAAATGGAACCTCAGAGGTAGCAGTCCTCAGTGAGATTAAATGGTAAATTTCTCCCCCGCCCAGTCCTTTAAAGATGTCAGACTCTCAGTTAATGTTTGCTGGGTCTGGATGAGGGAGTGTCTGGCTGCATCAATGCAGATTTTCTACAGATGCAAATTTTCTCCACAAACCACAGGTTTGGAGGGTGCTACTTCATTTTGCTGGCTCTCTGGTAGCCATCTCAAAAATATGTCAAAGAAGTGTATTTTGAGGAAAAATATTTTTCTTTCCTTCAGACTCCACTTTGAAACGTTAAAAAATTTTCACATATTAAAAACCAAGTTGATCCCACTGGAGGGATTTGGGCTAGATGTTGCTAGACAAAGGAGTGGAGACAAATTGGGATAAACACAAAAGAACGACTTTAAATATATCAACCCATATCTTCTTTAATCAGCCTCTTAGCCCTGAGAATAGATCAGTTTAGTTAAATGGCTGTGTCCCATTCTAAGAGGTGGCATTGCAGATAGGATAGGCCTCTACATATGATGTAGGCAAACAGATCTTTAATAAGAGGCATTTCTATGGAAAAAGAAGAAAAAGGTTAATATCTGGAGTACTCTATAGACTAATTTTTCTAGAGTCTCTGAAGCATCTTCAAATTGCAATGGCAATCTGACAGATTTTTCTGGATTGTAGTTTGAATTAAGTGTTCAAGTAAACTTTCTGAGTAGTCCATACATCAGGAGGTGAGAAGATGATTTATAAAAGTTGCTTGGATTTCTCCTGAAGTTCATTTAAGTTGCTTAGCTTCAGTTTGCAAGGCTTTAAGAAAAGCACAGTTTTAGTGTCTAGTGATTCCAAGTCAGGAAAACGAAAGAAGCATTTGGAAATATTAGTTTGGAGACGTGTGGCCAGAAAAAAATTCAGAATTCAATCCAAAGTGTAGGCATATAATAAAAACTCAAAAATAATGGACACAGCTGGAATCTCATAACAGGTATACTCTAGTTTTCTTTTGGAACATAATTTTTATTTCTACGGTCCTCTATTTCTACCAAAGACAAATTACAGTAGGACAAATGTATTTTCAAGATAAGTTTTAGTCTTATTATACTTGGCCTGGTTATTTGCATAAAGTGCAGCAAGAATTGTGATTGGCTATATAGGCTTTTTTATTTTTATTTATTTTTCTTCTTCTTTTAGAGATGGGATTCTTACTATGTCATTCAGGCTGCATATAAACTCTTTTAAGACTGACTTTGCTGGAACTTTTTCATAAGGAATCTCAGATTAGACTTTTAAAAGCCTCAAGGCTAGAAGCCATGCCAAGGATTTGCCATCAGACTATTGCAATATCTGTATGAATTGGGTGAGTTCCTCTTTCCTCAAAGTGCTCAAATAATTTGAGGTTCCTGGGACTGTCAGAAAGTGACATTCCTTAGTTACCAAAGGTCAGGGAACTTGTAAAGGAACCTTGCAGACAACATACCAGACCAGCCTTTCCAAGAAGCTTTTTTTGAGCTTTATAAGTCAACCTTAATTCCTCAAAGCAGTCTGGTCATTATGGAAAATATGCCATTCCAGTTAAATGCTTTGTAAAGTAACCAGTATCTCCAATTGTGTCCTGTTAGAGAAACAAACAAACAAACATAAATACAACAGATCTTTATTGAATTTATGCAAATAACTATATTGCTATAAATTAAAAATATAGTTTCCAAATTCTGGAGAAATGAGTTAGAGAGAAATATAAAAGCTTCAGGTTTTGCTCACAAAATATACTTTACCCAATTTGTTGTAAGCTTGAATAGCTCAAAAGAAAAAGTTTTCTTGACCCTGGAAGACAAAACGTTAAAAAAAAAAGCAGTGTTTCAAACAAAAGAAATCATAAAACATCATTTTAGTCCTCTGTTAGTTCAGTCCCATGTAATTAATTCTTGTTTTGCCTGATGTTGGGCCAGCAATTCTCATGAATGCTGGAAGTTTTTATTTATTCCAATGGTATAATCTCTAAAGCTATCAGAAACCTGAATAAGAGTACTTGTCAGAGCCTTTTCCACACATTTTCTTAAAGAAGCAATTTTATACTGTAGCTGATTATAAACCACTTTTTGAGAAGAATCATAGTAAAACAATAATTGTCTGTGGATGACAAAAATCTTAGAATAACTATGGCTAATGACATTTGACAAGGACATTTGGTTATTTCTATGACATGCAATAATTTAACATAATAATCATAATTATTATTAACATATACTAAAATATATCAGAATTTTAGAAATCTCATAATTTTGGAATATATATTAATAATGCATTTACACAAATACAATGCAAAGAAAGTTAAACACCATTTCATATTTGACAATGCTTCCTGTATGATTTTAACATACTAAATAATCCTAATATAGCTCGTTTGAACTTCCAGGGGGCGTAATATAAATAAAGTTAGTCTGAGGTTAAAAAAACTGAGTTTAGAATTTGAAACGTTGATTTAGGAAAGTTTGTCAAATATCAAAAGTTTAAAACGCTTGCTCAAAATAGGATCACAGATCATTATAAAATAATAGTCATTAATTTAGCTAAGTGATAATGAAAACATTTTAAAAAGCAAAACATTTTACTCTTCAACAGAGAGGACACTCAGTTTCCCAATTATAAAACCTGACAAAAACACCATAAGGGAAACAAAAATCTGTCTCTCCCTCTCTCCCCTCTCTTTTTCTTGTAGTCTAATGAAAAGTTAAACAAAAATATTTTTCTGTCTCTTATTAATACTATACAAAAATCTTATTCAAAAAAGAAATCCAAATTCTACCTTTGTGTTAGTGTATAATTAATGTTCATGCTAATTTTAATAAAAACTTGTAAGCAAATATATCCAATCTCAATCAGTTTTAACCATAAGATTTTTATAAATATTTTATAACCTCTTACAATTTTTCTCATTTTTTCCAACTTTTTATATCCATTTAGTTTATCGATTTTTAAATTTCTTTAATATAATCCAACTTTTAAAAGCTAAAACCAACTTTTAGAAGCCAAGTAAATTTCGTTACTTTCCCTGTAACAAAAACCACATTCTCATGCCTTTTTATAACTTTTCTTTTCAACCAAAAGTCCTTCCTACTTTCTTTATATACTTTACATATGGAATTGTTTCTCTTATATCTAATAGTTTTAATTACATATATTAATTAAATGTTTACTCTTAATAATCCTTATTTTTTATGAAAAGCCTCAGCAGTAAGCAATTTTAATCATGTACGAGATGTAATGTCCAGGACAAAAAACAGAGCTGTGAAGACAATGCTTAGAGGATATAACCCCTCTCAGCATGGCCAAGAGGCACAGCTGAGCAAGGGAGGAAAGGGCCTAAGTGTTGTCCCCACACCCCACTATGGTCACTTATCTAGACTTCAGAATCTAAAGGCTCAAATCCAAAGATGTAAGCTCACAGACAAATTATTCAAGTATTAAAAATAACATAGAAGCAACAGTTTTATGACCTTAAAACATTTATCAGGACAGTATAAACCTGTCTGACCAATAGACCCAGGCAAAATTGTCTAAATTATATTCTAAAGATGTTTTTATTTACAATTTAACAAACTATTTGCCAAAGATTACTAAAATCATACGAACTTAAACAACATTTAAGCTTATTTACCTAATTTATGAGTGCTCATTTATTTATAAATCAATTTGGTACCATATAGATAGTATACAAACAGACAATACACATGAACACAGAAAACCATAGACAGACATCAATAAAGGCTTTATAGTTTTGATTTTAGAATTTTAGCCATGAGAATAGTAAAACTCACTAATTTAAAGGGACAGCGGGAGGAAAACTGTGCCTTTATAAATGGAAAACTTTAAGGTTTATCCTGAGAAACGCTTATTGAGTTTTAGAGAAAACCAGATAGCAATTTATATCTCAAAGCATATACATAGAGATAATTTAAGCTTTTTCAATAAGGAGTTTGTTTGTGTTAGAGGAAGATTAAAAATGAATGCCAAGGTAGACCAGATACAGTGGCTCATGCTTGTAATCCTCGCACTTTGGGAGGCTGAGGAGGGTGGATCACTTTAGGTCAGGAGTTTGAGACAAGCCTGACCAACATGGTGAAAACCTATCTCTACTAAAAGCAAAAAACAAAAAAGAAAGAAAGAAAGAAAGAAAGAAAGAAGCCAAGGTAACACAAAATGATAGGAATTTACCATAGAATTGTATAAAGAGAACAATTTCATTTCAGCAGATAGCTGTTAATTTAGTTCTGTTTTCTAACTAGATCACTGAGCTCATGGCAGAGCCCATTAAGGAACAGGGCCAACAGTGCATTTGCAATTTTTAGGGCCTGATATTTTAAATACATGAAAAGCAGTTGTAGTTGGAAGACAGAACATTTAACCCTTTAAAAACCAATGATCTCACCCTTGAACTGAATCGTGGGTCCCCCAAAAGAGGAAAACACCATGGGCAGGGCCATGCAATGCTTCCACAGTGCACTGTGCTACAGAGACATTTCTCTAAGTGTTTAGATTGTGCCTTTCTTATTTAAACATGAAAAAAATAACTAGCCCCCTGTCGTAATAATCATTTATTGTAAATGACTGCTGTCAGTCACCTCTAAAACTGTAGCTCTTGCCAGGGACTTGCAGTCATCATAGACACAAAGGGCAAGTGTCCTCTCAGTAAAAAATAATCTCTGCTACTCCCAAAAGCCCAAGAGATCAGGTGATAAAATACAAAAGAGCGCATAGTTTTAGAGCTGAGAGGAATCTGTCCACAACTCTTTAGACTCTACAGGAAGACAGGAGACCCTAAAATGGGGTGAGCGATGCTTTTTTCTGTGTTCCATAAGGGATCTGAGTCATTAGATGTCCCCATAGATCTTTTCATGTGGTACCAAAGATGGCAAAGGGAAAGAAAGAACAGGGAGCAGTAAAAGTAAATGGGAGAACAATTCTTAAGAAAGGAAGTGAGCAGAGGGACCAGGCACATACTTAAAAAAAAATGTTGGTCAATTGAGAAAAAAATTTTAAAAACAGAATACAAACGGGAAAAAGCCAAAAGTCCTTTAACATATACCAAAAGTCCTTTAAAATATACCTATACATATAAGTAGTTTGAATATTAGCTTTTAATTAAGTGAACTGTTAACCATAGAGCCTTTAAAAAATTATCTTAAAATCTCTTATTATCAGATTATTTATTTATTTATTTATTTATTTATTTATTTATTTTTCTGAGATGGAGTCTCACTCTGTCGCCCAGGCTGGAGTGCAGTGGCATGATCTCGGCTCAAGTAATTCTCCTGCCTCAGCCTCCTGAGTAGCTGGGTAGTAGTACAGTCATGTACAGCTGAGTAGCTGAGTAGTAGTACAGTCATGCACCACCATGCCCAGCTAAGTTTTGTATTTTTAGTAGAGACAGAGTTTCACCGTGTTGGCTAGGCTGGTCTCGAACTCCTGACCTCAGGTGATCCACCCACCTTGGCCTCCCGAGTGCTGGGATTACAGGAGTGAGGCACTGCACCTGGCCTTATTCTCAGATTTTAGCTGGGAAAAACAGCCGATATTTCTGGCTTTTGAATTTTTATTTTATTATTATTATTATTTTTTTACCAAAGACATCCTCCCAAGTGAACCAAGAATATGACTTAACCAAGGATGCATGAGGTGATTCCAGAGAGGTGAATGGGCATCCCAAAAAGTCACACAAACAAACCGAAAAGGACGGATTTCCTTACTGGAAATCTAATCCAAGCTGTGTGGTAGTCTAATAGTTAATAGTTTCTTGCTTTTGGGGAACGTTTTAACTTTTGGATTACAAAGCGAAGCAGCCCTCATTGTTAATCCTGCAGGGATCCAAAGTAGGCAGTTAGAGCAGTTAGAGCAGGATTTTAACTTTGTTTTAGGTCAGAGTTTTACTATTTAATTTGATCACGAGAATTTCTAAGGTTGGTCATGACAGTATTATGTGTCTTTCTTTTAATTTGATTTTCCCATCAATTATTTAGAATAAGAGAGCTCTGTTTTTGTTTGTTTGTTTGTTTGTTTGTTTGTTTTAAACTTAGGAGTCTAATTTAAAGTATCCATCTTCTGGCCATTGACAACTAGAATTTCCAGTGGAAATTATTCCAATAGCAACTCAATCCAATTGCCTTTTTACGGAAAGCCCAGGATGTAATTTTCCAAGTTTAGAAAAAAAGGTGCTTCCTGGAGAGGGCATAGAAGAAGCAAACCCAAAGACTGCCCCCACCCAAAAAAAAAAAAAAAAAAAAATCCACTCCCAATGTTACCAGAAAGGGGTCTGGATTCAGACCCCAAGAGGGAGTCCTTGAATCTTGCCCAAGAAAGAATTCAGGGCGAGTCCATGGAGTAAAGTGAAAGGAAGTTTATTAGTAAAGGAAAGTAAAGGAATAAAAGAATGGCTATTCCGGCCGGGCGTGGTGGCTCATGCCTGTAATCTCAGCACTTTGGGAGGCCGAGGCGGGTGGATCACGAGGTCAGGAGTTCGAGACCAGCCTGGCCAATAAGGTGAAACCCCGTCTCTAATAAAAATACAAAAATTAGCCAGGCATTGTGGCATACACCTGTAGTCCCAGCTATTAGGGAGGCTGAGGCAGAATAGCTTGAACCTGGGAGGCAGAGGTTGCAGTGAGCCGAGATCATGCCACTGCACTCCAGCCTGGGCGACAGAGTGAGACTCTGTCTCAAAAAAAAAAAAAAAAGAAAAGAAAATGGCTATTCCATAGAGCAGCCTCGACGGCTGCTGGTGGTCATTTCTTGATTATATGCTAAACAAGGGGAGGAATATTCATGCCTTCTATTTTTAGACCATATAGGGTAACTTTCTGACATTGCCATGGCATTTGTAAACTGTCGTGACGCTGGTGGGAGTGAGGACAACCAGTGAGGACAGCCAGAGGACACGCTTGTTGCCATCTTGGTTTTGGTGGGCTGGCTTCTTTACTGCAACCTGTTTTATCCACAGAGTCTTTATGACCTTGTGTATTTTGTGCCGACCTCCTACCTCATCCTGTGACTTAGAATGCCTAGCCATTTGGGAATGCAGCCCAGCATGTCTTAGCTTTACTTTACCTAGCCCCTATTCAAGATGGAGTTGCCTCTGACACCAGGATTAGGCTAAGACAGCGAAAGGCATTTGTTGTGACAGATGTTTAAGGATGGTGTTTGCCTCTAGTAACCCACAAATTTATAAGGGGACACCAGTCACAGACCTGCTAATCTGAGACACCCCATATGCCTTCCTGGAATTGGACTTTTCTGGCACTAACCAGGCAACAAGAATGGAAATGACATAAGTCCTGTAGGGTTGGAACATCTCAAGACAAACTATCCCAAAAGCATCATACGTTCGGAATGAAAATCTTGGGTTCCAGGTCATTTTCAGGCTGACCACCTAATGTGATCTGAAAATCATGTGCCCTGGATGGCAGAGACCAAGAGAGAGTGCTTCCATTTGGTCACAAGTCAAACTCTCAGGGACATGGAACAAAAACAGAGGGAGCCTCAACCAGTGCCCCTCTTTATGACAGCCAAAGTCAAAGGAAAGGACTATTTCTGGGAGGAAAGATATCAAACAATATGAATATTTGTATCACAAAGTACCAAATAGTACGCTAGAGTCACTGCACCAAGACTAGTCACATAAGTCTTCTTCTCCCATTAATCAGAATTTTGCAGAGGCAACAGTGATTTTTGCCATCCACTTGACTGGATTGTACAGAGAGAGATCCTGGGAGCCTGGCTGTAAGAAATTCTTACCCTTTTGCCCATGGATCAGGTCCTAGATTCTCTTATCTGTAGCTTCCAGAAGAATGGAATTTTGACCCTACCAACTAAGCCAAACTCTAGGAGCAAAGGGATAGGTTTGCTGAAAAAAAGAAGTCAACTCACAAAAGGCAGGCTAATTGGAGAAAGGCATGCTAATTTATTAATGTGTATGCTGTAGATGGGGAGACTTCAGAATGAAGACCCAATCCCCTAGTGGGTCGCAGAAACTTCTATACCATCTTGAGGTTACAGAGAGAATGGGGGATTTGTGCATGGCCAAAAACAGCATATGGTGTAAGTCAGGTTTTAGTGGCAAGACAGGTTATGGGAGGAAGAGAAGAGACTTGGCTAGCAAAGGTGGTCTTGTTATGTAAATGACACCTCATGGGTAGCAGCCCTCAGATAGACGAACTAGTAACTGTTTCCTTAGGCCTTTCGAGATGTCGGACTCTCAGTTAATCTTTGCTGGACGTGGACAAGGGAAGGCCTGGCTGCATCAATGCGGATTATCTATAGATGCAACATTTGACTGCCTTTGCAAAATTATAGCTGAGGAAATTATGACAGTGAAAGAAATCAAACCTAACCCACTCCATCTTGCTTCTAACCTTTAAGCTGTCCCTGTTCATTCCTGCGCGTAGGCCGCAGTAACTTTGGAAAGGAATTCGGTTCATGATTTGACTCTGAAACAAAATTGATAACAGCCCTTTCCCGAAAAGACCCCCTTCTTGCCTGGGGACCAGTCTGACTTTGCAGGACTAATAAACTAGCTACAAGATTAGAAATTACAGTTTAGGGGTCATGCAACCTCTGGCTCCAAGAGTCTGAACCGCCCCAAATTGTTCCTGGGGATAACATCAGTGTTGTAAAACCTAAGATCAGTGCTTGAGATATTTTGCAGACCCTGCCCTGGATGGATCAGCTGATACCACACACACTGGTAATCTGGCTCAATCAGTTCTGCCATCCCACCCAGGAACAGAAGACAGAAAAACTCACCATGACCCCCATGATTCCATCTTCAACCTGACCGATCAGTACTCCCCACTTCCCAAGCTCCAACCCACCAAATTATCTTTAAAAACTTTGATCCCTGAATGCTTGGGGAGACAGATTTGAGTAATAATAAGACTCTGGTCTTCTACACAGATGGCTCTGCGTGAATTACTCTTTCTCCATGGCAATTCCCCTGTCTTGATAAATCAGCTCTGTCTAGGCAGCGGGCAAGGTGAACCCATTGGGCGGTTACAATTTTCCCAGCAAAAGACAGGTTTCGAGGGTGTTACCTCATTTTGCTGGTTCTCTGGTTGTCATTCCAAAATATGTCAAAGAAATATATTTTGGGGAAAAATATTTTGATTCCCTTCAGAAGGTAGAGGAAACACACATCATACCATTAGCTGGTTTGCCAAATTTTAGTTGTTAGATCAGAAAACTAAGAAACGGCATTCTTCACCTGGAGCCTGGATTTGTAATATTCAAGAAATTTCATGACCCTTGGAGTCTGCAGGCAGGGTAGTTTACATCACATGAAATCTAAACGATGGTCTTACTTCTGGAACCAGAATCTTTACTCTGCCTGGTGCAAAAGAAGTAACTTGCAAATATAGTGTTCATTTAGACTGAAGCTCATGAAAACTAACTAACTTTGGACTTAGTGACTTTCAGCAAATTATCTAACCTCTCTGGGCTTCAATATCCTCAATTGAAAAATGAAGCAACTGGTCTAGATAAGTGGTCTCTAAACAGTTTTCTAAAACTTTTCCTAGAAAGTGCCCCATCCCTCACTTCCAGGGCACAAGCAGACCTGTTAGGACTTTTTCTGATTTTACCACAGTCTTTAAAGAATACTTACTGCCGATTAAAAGAAAAAAAAATCATTTTGGAGCCACCAGATTGAATTCTACGTTCCCTTCTAGCATTATCATGCTAAATGTGAATGCAGTGTGGTTGACATGAATACATTATTCAGATATTTACTAAGCATCTACTGTGCATTGACCACAGTTTTAGGCATTGAGGATAAAGCAGTAAAGGAGACAAGTCCTTATCCTCACAGAGCATACATTCTAGTTGAGGGATAGATTAATGAACAAAGTGATTACAGGGAATGATTGGTATATTATAGCAGAGAAAGGGCACGGAAGCAGTGGGGATCTCTCTGAGCAGTGGCATCTGAACAGACATCCAAATGAAGCCAGGGAAAGACTATAAAGACCTGGGTAGAACATTCCAGAAAGAGAGAACAGAGAGTGGAAAACCGTGGGCAGACATGAGCCTGCAAATTTATTTTTTACCACATGAACTAATGATCTAGGTCTCCAGCTTCCTTAAGGAAGGAAACACTTGATTTTACTGATTAAGGGTATAGGAGTTTCTTCTACTTGAAATGATGTCTTGTCTTAGTGGTTCCTCCTTACCATTCTCAAGGGCCTCCTCCCACCGCACCTTTGCAGCATGGTATTCAGTTGCAGCAGAGTGAGCATCCCGTCCTGGTGAACTGTCTTGTCCTGCCCCATCCTGTGTATTCGCCTGGGCCGTTCTTGCATCTATTGAAGTTAATGCAACGTGCCTTGACACTGGCTTTTCTTATGCACTTGAATCTTCCCCATCTATTGGTTAACACTGCTGTTAACCACTGCCTCCAGTCCCCAGGATTCTGCACCCAAAACTCTGGCACAGTCTGTTCAGAACCTAGGCCTCTGTGGTGCTCTCAGCATTTCTTGGGCGTGAAACCCCCAGGGGTTTTTCTCTTTCCATGCTGGAGTAGGCACAAAAGACATTAAGTACCAGGACTTTTGAGCCTCAGTGCTTGGGTTTGATTTCCCTATATAGTAAGTTGAGTAACCTAAAATCTCTTTGCCTTCTTCTTCCTTCTTCTTCCTTCATCCTCTTCTTCCTCTTCCTCTTCTTCTTTCTTCTTCTTCTTCTTTTTGAGACAGAGTCTCGCTCTGTCACCCAGGCTGGAGTGCAGTGGTGCGATCGCAGCTCACTGAAACCTCTGCCTCCTGGGTTCAAGCAATTCTCATGTCTCAGCCTCCCAAATAGCCGAGGAAGGATGATTACTTGAGCAAAGGAGTTCGAGGCTAGAGTGAGCTATGATTGTGCCACAGCACTCCAGCCTGGGCAACAGAGCAAGACACATCTCTTAAAAAAACAAAAAACACAGCTGGGCGCAGCAGCTCATGCCTGTAATCCCAGCACTTTGGGAGGCTGAGGTGGGCGGATCACCAGGTCAGGAGTTCGAGACCAGCCTGGCCAACATGGTGAAGCCCCAAGTCTATTAAAGATTTAAAAAAAAATTAGTCAGGTGTGGTGGCACTTGCCTGTAATCCCAGCTACTCGGGAGGCTGAGACAGGAGAATTGCTTGAAGCCAGGAGGCAGAGGTTGCATTGAGCTGAGATCAAACCATTGCACTCCAGCCTGGCCAACAACTGGGCAAGACTCCATCTAAAAAAACCCACGAAAACCAGAAACCAAAAAACAAAAAATCCAATCAGTTCCTGTCCAGGTTCCTAATCAGGTCTGTTTATGCAAATGACAGATTGACACTTTCTTAGTTCTGATTGGTTGTTACAGCTGAGCCCTGATTGGCTGGGGCTGGTGAGCCTTGATTGGCTGGTTTCCAAGTCTAAAACCAGACGTCTCTGTCAGACGTTCTTTTCAATTGGCTGGAAGTGGGGCTGGGGTGGTGGTGGTTTTTCTAGTCACAGTTTATTTTGGCACTGACAACTGGAACTTGTTTGGCTTGATTTCAGAAAGGGAGATCCTGTGACATTTTATAACATCTTTCTGATAACACAGAGTGTGTGACAGCTCCCTCACCCAGCGTGACCACCTGGTTCTGTTTTAAATCTGAGCACCTTAGCCATGGGGAATCCATTTTGCCTGTCACCCAGGAGCATACTTTAGCACTACCTTCCATGACTGCTTTCAGGTACAAATAGCTTAATATATGTACATATATGTAAAATGCTTTTCTTTTTCCTTTGAAGGGTAAATATTTTATTTCTGAGGAATTTATTACTGCACATTTTCTTTCTTTTTTTTTTGAGACGGAGTCTCACTCTGTTGTCCAGGCTGGAGTGCAGTGGCGCAATCTCGGCTCACTGCAACCTCTGCCTCGCATGTTCAAGCGATTCTCCTGCCTCAGCCTCCAGAGTAGCTGGGATTACAGACGTGCACCACCATGTCCAGGTAACTTTGTAGTAGAGACGGGGTTTTGGGTTTCACCATGTTGGCCAGGCTGTTCTCAAACTCCTGACCTCAGGTGATCCACCAGCTTCCGCTTCCCGCAGTGCTGGGATTACAGGCTTGAGCCACCGCTCCCGGCCTTACTGCACATTTTCAAAGAAAGTCTCATAAGAAAGTACAAATGTTATTCTCCCCACATCCCAGAGATAAATAAGAAGGGTATAAAATTTCTTTTTAAATCAGAACACTTGGAAGTTTAGCACCAGCATACAAAATGAACACACAAAAATAAAATAAAATAAAAAGCCTTTGCTATATATTTCAGATTTTTTTTGGTTGGGGTTCTCCTGAGGTGGTATTAATATTTCTTCTTTGAATTCACATATTGCTTCTTTCAATTTATATAACCAAAACCGTAAAAAATGGGGAAAAACAACCCTAAGTTTGCTGAAAACTGGAGAGGTTGCTGTCTTGTCTTTTGCTGTGCACGCATTCCCAGTGTCTCAGCTTACTGGAAAAATTTGCTGTCATTTTCCTTTTGCAGTTGTTATTTTCTTAAAGAATAATAGTAAACGTTCTAATGTCCAAATCTTGGTTAGTCTTCCACTTTCTTGCTCAGATGTTTCTTTGATGCTGGTAAGATCGAGGTCTGCTTTTTGCCTTATGTTATTTTTGAGTGGTCATTAATTCTTTAGGTTGCCTTGATGATGGCGAAGGTGCCTGGTGTAACTCAGCGCTGCTCTGCTCAGTGGTGGGAGCAGGGTTCTCAGTTGGGGCTTCACCTGCTTCGGTCTCTGCCATCTTGTGAAGGAGCCTTAGGAGGATAGAGGCTACGTAAATAGTGGTGGGGAGGCTGGTAGCCACAGCGAGCAGGTTGCTGGCTTGGATGATTGGCTGATTGTTGATTCCCTTTATTTTCAGCTTCTCCAACAGCTGGGGCAGGTCGTGGCTCTCTGAAGCCAGCTACACATTTCAAATCAAAGCCCTACTCTCCAAAGGACAGGAAGCTTTCCAACATGCAACAAAACGCAGACGTGGGTCTTGAAAAACTGAGCCAAAAAAATCTCACACCAGAAAGCATAGAAGTTTTCCTCCAAAATTGTGTTATAAGTTAAAAGTGCTCTCCTAGAAACTTTTAACCATTAAATAGTCTATCCGAAGTTAATTATTCTATCTGAGCTAATTGTACATGATCTTTGAGGAAAAAAAGTCAGCAATTACTGAAATATCCTTGTGTTTTGATGACAGTCATGGCTACAGAAAAAAACCATAAAAAACAAAAAAAAATTGACAGTGGTAGCTGTCATTGTCTGTGACAAGTACTCTCTGCAGGTTATAAACCTTGTGCATTGTTAACTTAGACCTGCAATTAGTCCATTCACATTTTGGTGTGATTTAATTGCAAGAATTGTAATTTGAAAGGGAATAATTGGTATGAAACCCAATATTATTTAATTTAATTTTGTTTTACTTTATTCTTTTGATGGACCACTCTCACAGAATGAGGAATAATTGATTTCATGGCCCACAGGTATCTGATGAAAAATCAATCGAATTAGTGATTTCATTTTGCAATTTACATTTAAATAAAAAGGGATGGAGAGAATTCTTTCAAGAAGTTAAAAAAAATTAGCCTTACTTAAATGATGTTTAATATAAAACACAAAAACACTAAAATAATTCCAAAGTTAATCTTCTACTCTTCTACTCCACTTTTACTCATGACTTTGCAATGACTGGGAACAGGGGTAAGTGATGACATGAAAAATGATGTGGAAAAACAAAAGAGCAAGAATTCGATATAACAGGTTATTTCTATATTTCTATATTTGGATTTAGCCAGTTCATCTGCCCGATATTCTGACCTGTGGGTTTACATAAAGATTTTCTCAGAGACAACTGGGGTATAGTGAAAGGAGCTTTGACACTGTAAACAGAAATCGTTTTTTCAAAAAGTCTCAATTTGGCCATTGTTTTTCTGTACGATCAAGTCATAATTTCTCTACTCCTGTTTCTCATGTAGAATAAGGAGTTAATAATTTAAACTCCACAATGTTATGGTGAGGATTCAATAAAATAATGCCTGTGAAAATGCTATGTGAAGTACAAACTATGCATGGGAAGATGTTAAATTTTAAATGAGGGTTTCATTTAGTTGGGAGAAGCCTAGATCATAAGCATCTAGTGCCTCAACGTCCTGCAGCCTAGTCTGGGTAGACTGCCTCTCAGAAAAGTAGAGGATTCTGTTAGCTGCAAGGCAGGTGAACAGCAATGCGGAGCAGGGGACCAAGGGCAACGTCTAGATAAAGCAAAATGTATCTGGTATTTACTATATATCATGCACTCCAAAGCCAAACTCTTTTTTTTTTCTGTAGAAATCCTGCCCATTCCTGCTTATGTGTTAAGGGAATTTGGGTCGTCGTTTCAAGAAAGTTAAGGATAAAGGAAACATTTCAATTTCCATAGTGTTGATAAAGAATTGCAGCACATTAACAAGGTGTATCATTTAGAACTTTTTTTTTTTTTTGAGTCTCCCTCTGTTGCACCCAGGCTGGAGTGCAGTTGGGGCGATCTCAGCTCACTGCAACCTCCGCCTCCCAGGTTCAAGCGATTCTCCCACCTCAGTCTCCCAAGTAGCTGGGATTACAGGTGCCCGCCACCACGCCCAGCTAATTTTTTGTATTTTTAGTAGAGACGGGGTTTCACCATATTGGCCAGGCTGGTCTCGAACTCCCAACCTCAGGTGATCTGCCCACCTCAGCCTCCCAAAGTGGTGGGATTACAGGCGTGAGCCACCGTGCGCAGCCTAGAGCTTCATTTCAATTTGCATCACTGTCACATGGCAGTAAATGCTAGGCCTTTTCACAGCTCCTTGCTTTATAGGAAATCTCTATGGAGTCTTTATTAGGAGCCTGTTGTAATGCTTTTGAAAGGAAATGCAACTTTATGTTCTTTTTACACTCAGGAGTCTGAAAGGTACATTGTTTTTTAAGAGTGCTGCACAGAGCAGAACTAACTTTACCACCTTGAGGTGTCAACAGTGAGAGAAACGGAGGAAGTCACAACTTTTGAGATGAGAGAAGCTTTTTAGGTAACTATGAGGTGTTTTAAAAAGTACCTTTTCTCTTTGGTAAGTGGAGTTTCCCAACTCCCGTTCAATGATCTGTCAAAGTTAGAATGCACATGAAAGGTGCATTGAGACAACGGTACTTGTCTGAGAGGGAAACAAAAATTTGTTTTTTGATGAATCCTTCCAAAATAGGTCAAATTGAAGCTGCTTTGAGGCACCAAGTGAGGAAATCTGATTTTAGCCTTCCTTTTTCCCCCTCTCGGTTGTAGTTATTCTAAGTGACAAAGAACAAATCATGTTAAGAGAGGTTGACATTTTTAGGAGTTGCTTTTCAAAACATAGAAACCAACATTCTTCTTATTGGCTGACCTACTACGTTTGAATGTGTGTTTGCCTTGGGTTAGGAGATACAGCCTCCCAAAAGATGTGGCTCTACCATCATCAGGCAGCTCTTTCTGAGGAATGATTAACCTATCAGATATATTTTCTTCTCTTTAGTAACAAACCAACGTTCCCCTTTCCGTGCACCCATTTGCTACATCTCCATTCTACTCTGTTAAGATTATGACTGTCTCTCGGATTCCAGGCCTTCTCATAGACCTGTCTTTCCACTGTCCAGGAGCAGCTTTGTATTCTGAAATCTAATCAGAGAGTAAGTTCATTCCGCAAATATTTCTTTTCACAACTGTTTATTGAAGGACAGTGTGTTACAGGCTCTGTGCTAGCTGCTGGAATGCAGCTATGAACCAGGTGGAGAAAGATCCCTACCCTACAGGAGCTTACACTCAGGGAAAAGGGGAATCAGCTTCCTTGATGAAATATAAGTTGGTCTATTTAAATTCTTCTCTAGCTTTCTCATCCCAACATGTGTACCTGTGCAGTTCAAACAGATTCTAGAAAGACTGGGACAGAATTCCTGTTAAGAGAAGATTGCATTTACTGTGCTAGAGCATTTGTTTCTCAGAGCCCAAAAGCTCTTTCTGCTGTAGATGTCTTATCAAGATTATATGAGGAGAGCCTGAAACATAATCCTTCTCACTGCCATTTCCATATCTCTGCCGTAAGGCCCTTGTTTTAAATTCTAGAAGGTGAAAACAATTCACAAACAGAAATGATTAATGGCATGAAGGACAGATTTATGGGAAAGGATCTTAAGAGATAAATATGTATGGGTTGACTTCAGGAGGCTCTCAGAAATTGTTCTTGGTGATATAGTTAGTGAGGAAGGATTAGCATGATATTAAAGCTAAAACAAAGTAGGGTAGAAGAGGATGATTCAGGATGTTTGGGAATACATAATTTTTTTTTTTTTTTTGAGACGGAGTCTCGCTCTGTCACCCAGGCTGGAGTGCGGTGGTGTGACCTCAGCTCACTGCAACCCCTGTCTCCCAGGTACAAGCAATTCTCCTGCCTCAGCCTCCTGAGTAGCTGGGACTACAGGTGTGCACCACCATGCCCAGCTAATTTTTGTATTTTTAGTAGAGGCGGAGTTTTGCCATGTTGGCCAGGCTGGTCTTGAACTCCTGACCTCAGGTGATTCGCCCGACTCGGCCTTCCAAAGTGCTGGGATTATAGGCGTGAGGTACCGCGTCTGGCCTGGAATACTTAACATTCGTACGATGCTTTACAGGTGAATAACAATACTGGATATCATTGATTAAGGGCTTAGCATGTGACAAGCACTTACACAAAAAGTTATTTAACAAATATTCGTTAAGTGCCTCGTATGTGCAAGGAGCGGTTCTAGTTTCTGGAGATACGACCTGAAACAGAAAAGACAAAAAAATCCTTCCCTAATGGAGCTTGCATTTAGTTGGGGAAGGTAGAATATACACAAAATAAATCAGTAATATATGTTATTGGGTCAAGTGGTGTTAAGTGCATGAGTGTATGATTATCTGCACAGCTTGCAAAGTAATTTCACAAACATCATTTACTCATTTAACAAATATTTATTGAGAATACAGTATGTACCAGCCATTGTGCTCATAACAACCGTATAGTTGTTAGCATTTTAACACCAAAATATTGGGATTTAGACCGGCTAAATGATCTTTCCAAAGTAATAGAGCTGAAGGCAGGGCATGATGGGCTTGTACCTTCAATCCCGGCACTTTGGGAGGCTGAGGTGGGAGGATGGCTTGAGGCCAGGAGTTTGAGATCAGCTTGGTCAACACAGAGAGACCCTGTGTCTACAACTAAAAAAAAAAAAATTACAGCTGGTAAATTGCAGAGCCAAGATCCAAACCCATATTTTCATTTTCTAAGTATAGTCCTCTTTCTGATGCAATAGCTGTAACTTAAAAATCTGAGCCTTGAAGCTTCCTTGTTTCTACTTTCACTCCTTCTGTTGCTGTAAGAGTGAAATAAATATGTTTCTAGGGAAGTGGATTTCTACCTTCAGGGCTTCCTGGATATGTGTGTTGCTTGGGCAATATTTTGTCTTCAATTAGATGAGTTTGGATAGCTTAAAAATTCACTGTGACTTGCAAAAGAAATGTTTTTTAAACCTTTACATTCATACACTTTTCTTTAAATGACTTTAAAGAAAGACATTTACTGTAATGTTCCCCTCTCTGTTTCATATTCTCTACTTAATTTTATTCCTTCAATTTCCTCTGGTCATATGAATTTTAAAATTAGGTCGTTTGACTCTTTTATAAACTGTATTTGGAGGCTCTGTCAAACCTCAGTGAGACTTTGCTGGATTCTTAAAAGCCCATGGCTCTCTGAATTCATCCTTTACATGAGAAAGCAGGGGAGATTCTTGGAAATAATCTGAGTTGACATCTATTTCTGTTGTTTTACAATAGTTTCCCAAAGTTTGCAGTTTTAAGTAAATTTAGAACAATTGTAAAAAAGTCAGCACACAAAGTTGAAAATGGTAGAGTTGTAGGCCAGGGAATTCAGACTTCTTATCCTGAATGTTTACACACGAATTTTTCTTTAGATGTATTTTTAACACTGTCTCCTTTGCTTTTATTTTTGCCACAAGGTAAACCCACCTCCAGTAAATAGTTTTGAAATGATTTTAAACCAGGGTGAATGCAGTAAGAAAGCCAATATATTACAATGAACAGAGCATAGTTAAAATAAAATAGTTGGGTGGCTTGGGTATTTAATAATCTTTAAAAAGATACAAAAGCGATAATCTTTAAAAATATAAAAACAACTTTTGTTCAATGTAGATATTATCATTGTTAATATTTTGGTATGGCCTATCCTTTCAGACATGTTTTCCCCTGTAAAAAATGGGATCATATGTTGTGGACTTCATTTCTTTTTTCTTTGTCCACATCATTTTTATGGCTCTTTAGTAGACTGACATATTATGATTTGTCTAACCATTTGTCTATTGACCTTTTAAATTATTTCCGGTTTTTTAACTCTTATTAATAATTTACAGTGAACATCCTTAAAGTAAAATATTTGAACACATCTGTGATTATTTTCTTAAACTAGTTCACAGAAGTTAAATTGTTAGGTCAAAGTGTATATGGAATTGTGTATATGGAATTCAAAGGCTTTTGTTAGTTTTGTCAAACTGTCCTCAAAATTCTGTATTCCTGTAAGTAATATATGGTGAGTTAAAACATTGGGTAAGAAACTAATAAATGCAAACCAGGTACAGTGGCATGGTGCCTGTATTTCTAGCTACTTGAGAGGCTGAAGCAGGAGGACCACTTGAGCCCAGGAATTGGAGACCATAGTGCTCTATGACTATGCCTATGAACAGCCACTGCACTCTAGCCTGGACAGGAGAGCAAGACCCAGGCTCTAAAACAATCAAGTGAAATCCAAAAAAAAACATTAAACGCACAATACATAATACATAATCTAAAAAAGCACAATACATAATTTAAAAAAGAGGAGTTCAGATCACATCAGCCACTAAGAATATTCTGTTCCTTCATTTAGGGGGATTTTCTATTTGAAAACCATCCCAAAGAAAGAAAAATGGAACACCATTACAGTTGAGGTCTATGTAGTGTACTGAACTGGTAATCTGAAAATCTGGTCCCTAGCCCTGGCTGTGCTGCTCATTTGATGTGTGTGGCTCTGCCAGCCAGTTATTCTACCTGGGCCTAGTATTCTTTATTCGTAGTGTGACCATACGTCTTGCTCTATGTCTGTGGCACAAGCATAATAATTAATAGCATTTTCTTTTACTCTCAAAGTGGACAATGAAGTCTGTGCTTGTCCCACTTACTTTTATGTGAGGTATTTCCACTGTTAAAATGGATATATGTTGTTTTGCCTGCCCAGCCTCTTCCCCCTGTTGTTTTCTGTTGTGGAGCCACTGTCTCCCATCATCAGTCAATGTGTCTGCAGCCTAAGTCTATCCCAGACACATGGCCAGCGTGGGCCAGTCAGAGCACCACAGCCTCTTGGACCCGGAGATGAATCTAAAAATAGCCATGTGACCCAAATCAGGCTCCTGTGAGCTGTCCTCCTGGATTTCTGCAGGGCTGGTGGTGCGCTGGCTCATATTGGTCCGCAAGAGCCAATTATTAAATTTCTAGGAGTTTTGTCAATCAGTTGTTAAACACAGCCATTATTAACAATTAGATTATATAAACTTACAATTAAAGTATATTAAAACAAAGGTAGGTGAATACTTCAAACTCACAGCTGCCTTATTATTTTACTACATCTTATATTACCTATTATCTTGAGTTATTTATGTGTTTTCACTCTATATGGTGGAAATACTACAGAATGGACTACTGCACATCTCCTCTCAACTCCATGTTTAGTGATGTTAAGTTGGTAGGTTGAAATTGGCCAGGGTGGGAGTATTTATACCATGGAAATTGGCAAATGTTATAAACCAGATTTTTTTTTTTTCTGGAAAGTTAAACACTTACCTTCACATCACTGGCTTGAACTAATCATTTGCTTTTTACTTTGTCACTATGCTGGTAAAATGTAGTCCTGGAGTAGCAGGAGGGCCATTTCGGTCATTTGGGGAGGGCTTGCCCAAGAACTCTGCTAGTGAAAAGAAAAGTAGAGCTGAGGGCTACAGAATGATGGGATTCTTATTTTTCCTTTGGCTTTATGGAGGTATAATTGACAAATAAAAATAGAGACAAGCTTGGTGTGGTGGTTCATTCCTGTAATCTCAACATTTTGGGAGGCTGAGACAGGAGGATTGCTTGAGCCTTGGAGTTTGAGACCAGCCCAGACAACATAGCAAGATCCTGTCTTTACAAAAAATTAAAAATTTATGCCGTGTGCAGTGGCTCATGCCTGTAATCCCAGCAGGCTGGGAGGCTGAGGTGGGCAGATCACCTGAGGTCAGCAGTTCGAGACCAGCCTGGCCAATATGGTGAAACCCTGTCTCTACTAAAAATACAAAAAAAAAATTTAGCTGGGCATGGTGGCGCATGCCTGTGATCTCAGCTACTCTGGAGGCTGAGGCAGGAGAATTGCTTGAACCTGGGAGGTGGAGGTTGCAATGAGCCGAGATTGCACTGCTGTACTCCAGCCTGGGTGACAGAGCAGTCTCCATCTCAAAATAAATAAATAAATAAATAAAATAAAAATCTAGCCAGATGTGTAGGCATGCACCTGAAGTCCTAGCTACTCAGGAGGCTGAGGTGGGAGTATCACTTGAGCCCAGGAGGTGGAGGCTACAGTGAGCCAAGATCGTGCCATTGCACTTCAGCCTGAGTGACAGAGCGAGACAGACCCTGTATCAAAAAAAAAAAAAAAAAAAAAAAAAAAAAAGACAAAACTCTTAATGTATGTATTTGGTATTTTAGTTGGATGAGAAACTGGCTTAATCCACGTTAGGTTTCTATAATCTATAAATAAAAGTCTTTTGATAATACAGACTCTATAATCTCTAAGACCCCCTTGTAGCTTAATGATATCTGATTTCAAAATTAAATAAGAGGAGGAACTTCTTAGATAATATTTGAGTGCCCATAGTTACTATCTTTGACAAGAAGTCAAATAAAAAATATTCCATAATGAATTCACACAATTTATCTTCAAAACATTCAGTCCTGTATAATGTTAGCATTAAATGTCTTGTAGCCAAAATTTAAGCCATAAGACAGATGAAATAAACTGATGTTAATAATTTCACTCATTTTACAAGATTTCCCCCCTTCTTTTGAAAATAAAATATTGTGTTTAAGCTGATCCACTTTAAAATAATTTTTTAAACCAACTTTTAATTATCCTCAGATAGTGATTATTATCTATATTCAACCACAGCACTGTGTCTAGAAAGCCCTGTTAAGATATAGTTACTCTGCCTTTTAAGAACACTGTACTTTCTCCCTTTGAAATATTGATTTCATTTTACCAGCGTGATGTCCCCATGGTGCACCCTGAGGTGGTATTTGCTAATTAGTGAATGAGTCTGGAGTAGGTCCTACTGAGATATTAGGAATACTCTCCAATTTGACACAGCTGAAGTGCATATTTAACATTTTATTCCTGGCTCACTGTAGTTATGACCCATCTCGCATATTGTTGATTCAAAAGAATCAAAATCCCGTCGGTGTTTTCGGTTTCTGGTACTTGACTGTTGATAGCTCGGAAGTGTTGGTGGTTAATAGTCAACATTCACAAAAATCTTATGAGGCCAAACCTCATAACTTGCCAAGTGCTAAGATGATTTAAATTTACCATCCCTGAAATAAAGTGTTCTTTTCTTTCTCTGGCTTAAAAAGAGGTTAGAAAAAGTCTGTTTTGATTTGGATGATTATGTTTAGAAATAAACTAAATAATAAAAACCTTGACGCTGCCATTATTAGCTCTTTTAGGGGTTTCCTTGTCAATAGCTGGTTGCCTCCTCTTAATTCTATTGCTAGTTTGCCCCTTTTTCAATAGTGAGTTGTCATCTTGCAACTATAACAGAACAAGCTATTTAAATTAACGTGAATGAGAACTGTGATGTATTGGAACGAAACAAGCACTTTTGGGGACTGACCTTGAGTTAATTCCCTGCACCAGCATTTGCATTTCCCAAAGTGTGTTCCAAGAACCCTAGTTAGGGAAACATTTCATGTCAGTATTTCTCAGTGTGCAGATCATCTGCATCTGAACTACCTGGGGTGTTAAAGTACAGGCTCCAGGGCTGCTTCTGAGGGGCTTGGTAATATGAATTTTCAACAGTTTCTCAGAGTGATTCACATGTACTTTGGCAAAAAGGAATCTAGTAAATTTGTGAATTACTTTCTTTTTTTTTTCTTTTTTTGTTTCGTTTTGTTTTGTTTAAACAAATGTGCACCACGATGTTTCAACAAGTAAGACAAATGCCATGAATGTGAAAGCTGCAGTTTGCAATATACCATATTTAGAACCCAGGGTAGGTGAATTAGCCAGAGGTGGTAGTCATTCTAATTAAACAATCAGGTAATTTCACGACAAGTATCAAAACTGTCCACTTAAGTTTCTTTTTTCTTGATGATAAGAGGTCCCACGTTGACTCCAGTCTCTTCGTTGTGTTTTGTGTGAGACCCATCACAGAATGGGAATTTTTGGACCTCCAGAAACGGCAGTACACAGCATTATCTCCCAAATCCTCCATGTCAAAAGCATGTACTGTCTTGGGGTTGTCTTTCTGGATGTGAAGGTTTATCACAGCTTTATTTCGATGATCTTTAACATAAAATCTTTTGTAAGCTAGATAACCAATTGCAGCTGTCCCAGCAGCAACGGTAACTGCTGCCATCCATTCAACTCGTCCGCTGGAACTGGAAGTCAGACTCATGGCGCCGTCGCTTGCAAGGCGTGTGCACTAGGATACCGAGCACAAACGGGTTTGCGCGGCCAGCGAGAGTCAAGGTAGGTGCCAGCGGCGTACTAACGTTACCGACTCCGCGCTGCTACCGCCGAATTACTTTCTTGACTTACAGACTACATTAGCAAATTAAGGGATCTGAAAAGGATCTGAAAAGTCCTGTAGTAGAGACCTGTTTAACTTTTTTAAACCCAGGACTTTCTCAAATTGTTTGATTTTTCAGTTTCTTTTGTTTTTTGAGACAGAGTCTCACTCTCTTGCCCAGGCTGGAGTGCAGGGGTGTGATCTTGGCTCACTGCAACCTCCGCCTCCTGGGTTCAAGCTATTCTCCTGTCTCAGCCTCCCAAGTAGCAGGGACTACAGGTGTGTGCCACCACACCTCGCTAATTTTTTGTATTTTTAGTAGAGACAGGGTTTCACCATGTTGGCCTGGTCTCAAACTCCTGGCTTCAAGTGATCCACCCACCTAGGCCTCCCAAAGTGCTGGGATTACCCGTGTGAGCCCCACTGCACCCTGCCTCAAATTGTTTGATTACAGAATTCTTTTTTGGGAGGAACATTTGTTAGTTGATCAAATACTATTGGGAAAAGTTACTCTATCTAATAGCATAATAATTGTAGATTGTCACAATTGCTTGCTAGTTTGATACTGAGTTACTGTAGTGTCTTGCTATAAGCATTAGACAGACATCTGAGTGTGAATCCTGAATTTTATACTGTTGGTTCGGTTACCTAGCAGTCACGTTCTCTTAATCATAAGGGAGACAGAGCGAAAGAGTGAGTTAATACCAGAAACATTGCTAGAAAAATAGACACGTGTTTCTGATACTATCATATTTTATGAAGAGTGATGTATATGAATACTTCTGGCAATGTATTTTGCCCAGACATTCTACATCCTCACTCTACACCTCCAGAGAAGAGATCTGGGAGATCTGGTTGCCATTTGACAGTAGACTCTACAGAGGAAGGAGCAAGGAGCTCTTCCAGAAACACCAATCAAGTAGAACAATGAGAAAGAAGTAAACACAGTTGAGCAGGAAATTGGATGGAAGTGAAGTAATTCTTCACTCTGCAGCAGAAGTGGTTAAAGGCAACCCCAGTTTTTCTTCCCACCATTCTGCCATTAGGCATAAACAACACAGAGCCAGGCAGTAAAGAAATGATAAAGGAGGACTGAACTTTAGGGACTTCTCTCTGGGGGTGGGACTGCCTTTTGCTTGGCTCTAGAACTAGAGGGACAAAGACGGGTCCGGAGTAAAGGAAGTAGGGCACAGATTAGCTGGAGGGAGAGAGATAAGTAGACCTCTGGGTTTCCTTTCAAATTGCCTGGGTTGATTGACCAGGATAGAGAAGGAGGCCAAATCCTGGGCTTGCTCATCCCGTCCCTCACCACGCAAGGCATTTCATTTCTCCATGCTTTTGCATGCCTTGTCTCCTTTGTTTCTTCTTTTCTTTGTTTTTTTTCTTTCCTTTTTTTTTTTTTTTTTTTTTTTTTTTGAGAAAGGGTCTCTCTCCTTTACCTAAGCTGGAGTACGGTGGCCTGAACATGGCTCACAGCAGCCTCAACTTCTGGGGCTCAAGCAATTCTTCTGCCTCAGCCTCCCAAGTAGCTAGAACCACAGGTGTGCATCACCACGCCTGGCTTTTTTTTTTTTTTTTTTTTGTAGAGGCAAGTCCTTGCCATCTTGCCCAGACTTGTCTGGAACTCCTGGGCTCAAGCCCTTCTCCTACCTTGGCCTCCCAAAGTACTGAGATTACAGGCGTTAGTCATTGTATCCAATCCTGCCTCCTTTATTTCAAATGCCCTTGCCTTGTTCTCTCCCTCTATGTGCCCATGGAACTTTGCTGATTTTTCTAACTTAAGCTCATAATATGTTAATGGTATGCAGCGAGATTGGGAGCTTTTTGAAGGGCAGAGATAATGTCTTATTTATCTTGAGTATCTTGCACTAGGCTCAGCTTCTAGCATAAAACAGCTTTTCAATTAATGTTTGTGGTAGCCAGGGAGATCAGAAATCTCAACAGGATGCCTCTAAATAATCTTTAGAGTACTCATGTAGAGTTCAGTGGTATAGAGCTTTAGAGCTGGAGGCTATCTATAGACCCTCCTCATTTTACAAATAGGGCAGTGATAGTTCACTCAAGAGGCAAGCAGCGACCTAGGACTCAGGCCTCCTGCCTCTCAGTCCTATGTTCTTTTGACTCCCTCAAGGTGGTTTGTGTAATTAAAAAAACCCTCAAAACTCACACTACCCAATGCTGCATGACCCTTTATGAATTATAGTATAAAGCAGTATTTCATGTAATATTTGCATCAGTGAAAAATGCAGAGACATTGAGCTAGAAAGTGATTTAAGGAGGATGTTCTGCCTCCACATAGAATGTGTTCCATTTCTGAATTTTTGCATCCATTGTGTGCCTTTCTAATTCTTGGCTTAGCTTGGAAGCTGCAGTTAAAAAATGCTGGGTGAGAAGCTATTCTCCTGGTACTTTCAACTTTATTGGAAAGAGAAGGTCTCATAAATCACATAAGGGAACTGGGGCCTGTAGGATTGCTTAGTTGCCAAGTGAATTCTGATTGATTGCTTTGGAAAATATGTACATTTTCCAGGAGCTTATCTGAAATAAAATAAAGATTCATACTTTCTCAGACTGAGCTCCCACTCCACCAGATTTCAATCATAGTCTGGTCATTTTAATCCAGTGAAAGGGCAGTTAAATGAACAGTGTAAGCATTAGAAGTGTAGTAAAAAATCTGAACAGCAAAGCACAAATGTTATTTCAAATAGAGAAAGGTTTGGAACACCAAAAATACTCCTAACTAAACATAAAATTAGAACCAGATTCAGGTTCTATGACTCGTGTTGACTTAAGCTTCTTCCTAATAATGGCCAGCATATCAGAGTGGAGAAATTGTTGGGAAAACCATGTTATCAGACGCAGGTATCACTTCCGTATCAGGAAGCACTGTGAATTAGGATTTCAGGAGAACTGAAATTGTGTGTGTCCACAGAGAGCGAAATTAAATGGGAGGAAAACATTTGGATCTTAATCCTTTGAGGTCACAGAAACTGTTGAAAATCTATGAAAGCTGTGTAAAAATTCACATGCATATGAAAACTTTCAGACCCACGATGCCCATAGGGTGCTGGGAACCTACATTAAGTACCTCTTATTTAACTATTTTTCCTAGAATTTCTGGTTTCTATATGTGGCAGATCTGCCTGGCTGGCACCTGGAACTTCCAGCCTCTTCACACACATACACTGTAGGGCCAGGTTGTAGCAAAAAAAAAAAAAAAAAACAGAAAAGGAAAAAAGAGGACAGAACATCTGCTGTGAGGCTGATTCAGTTTTACTCAGGGTGAACAGAAGTGGCCTTAATCCCCTACAGATTTCCTTTACTTTGTTGTTATGCAGAGGGATCATCTGGCAGAGATTTTAAATTTTCTGAGCATTTATTTATACTTTCATTTGTAGTACGTCTGAAAGGAAAATGCAAACTTTTAATTGGACTGACTTGGTAACTTGGTTCAGTGATAGGCTGGGTTCAAAATTGCTCCATCCCCGTTTATCAGATGATTACAGTTTAGGTGGGTAGCAAATTCTGCTTTATCTTGGAGATACACAGT
Organism: Homo sapiens; assembly: GCF_000001405.40. Lineage (NCBI taxonomy): Eukaryota > Metazoa > Chordata > Mammalia > Primates > Hominidae > Homo > Homo sapiens. The sequence continues at coordinate 42,640,806 of NC_000012.12, forward strand.
TTAAGAGATTTTCTAGTCTTCATTCATTACCATTTCTTCTGAATTCATCTCTGGTGAACTAAGGAAGACTTCTTGCTGTATGATTAGCCTACTGAACATGATGATGCATTCCTGAACAGACATGGGAAAGGCAGGTGGATAATAATAGTCTACAGCACTTTTTGTTTATCCAGAAATCTGCCATCCCCAGGAGGTTGACATATAATCCCATACTTAATCTGTCATCCATACTTTATGTAATAATAATAATAATGATAATGATAATCATTTACACTTATATAGCCACTTTCATCTAGGGTATCTTAGAGCTTTACAAACACTAATTAATTCTCCTGGTCTCCCTGTGAACTAGGTAAGGCCCGTTTTACAGGTGAGGCATTTGAGGCACAGAAAGGACGAATGGCTTTCTCAAGGCCCTTGGGTACTGAATGACAGAGAGCTCTGTACTTCCAGTTGTCTAGAGCCAGCTGCATCTTCTGGGTGAGTGAGTGGGAGGGACCACACCAGAATAAGGCCTTCTAAGACTTGGTTACCTAAACCCTAGTAGTGCATAGAAGCTCTGGGAGAGTTTCCAAAGTATGTGCTTTTTCATCCCCAGCACACACATGCACAGCCTGTGAGTGGTTGTTTTTGAGGTCTAAGCAGTAGAGGTGGAGTTAAAGTTGGCTGTCATATATCTTTGGATAGGAAGGAAAGGAAAGAACGTGGGCAGAGAATTGCATTTTAAGTGGATGTTGCTGAGATGTATCAGCCTACTCTACACTGAATCAGAGTAATCCTGACTTTTGACTTGTTTTATTCTGTTCCACTACATGAACCATTTGATATGTACATAACAAGGATGCAATGATTAAAGAGAGTCCAGTATGCAATTGGCAAGGCACCTAATGGAAACTAGCTTCTCACTGTTTCCAGGCATTTTAGTTTTAGAGAATCCTTGAAATTCTCCCAAATGGGTGGTGCTGAATTCAGGGAAAATGATGTTTAATGAGTGCTTCTCTCTCTCTTTAATTGCAAGAAGAAATAGACAAATGAGGGCTTATCAAATGTTAATATGCATACCAGTCACCTAGGGATCTGTTAAAATACAGATTGTTGCTTAGTAATTCTGGAGTGGGGCCCAAGATCATGCTTCCAGTTGATGCCCATGATAATGGTCCCTATAGCTTGCTCTGAATAGTGAGACTCTACGCTACTGTTTACAATTCCGATGAGCTTATTCCCACAACATACTGCTCTGGAGGAAGCTTCGGTCAATTGGAGTGAGGCCTGGGCTTACAGGACCAAGGCCTGGTTTGGAAAAGTGCTTCTGCTCTTTATTATCTAAGAGGTTTGAGACCCCAAACCTTTCAGAGCCTCAGTTTTCATATCTTTAAATGAAGATCATTAATTGCTCCTTTGCAGATTTGTTATGCAGATGAATAAAATAACCCAGGTGAAAGAGTCTGGCACGTGCTGGCTGGGTGCGGCGGCTCACGCCTGTAATCCTAGCACTTTGGGAGGCTGAGGTGGGCCGATAACTTAAGGTCAGGAGTTTGAAACCATCCTGGCCAACATGGTGAAACCCCGTCTCTACTAAAAATGCAAAAAAACTTAGCCAAGCATGGTGGCACACGCCTGTAATCCCAGCTACTTCGGAGGCTGAGGCAGGAGAATCGCTGGAACCCGGAAGGCGGAGGTTGCAGTGAGCCGACGTCATGCCACTGCACTCCAGCCTGGGCAGCAAGAGTGAGACTCCGTCTCAAAAAAAAAAAAAAAAAAAAAAAAGTTTGGCACATGCTATAACTCCACAAATGTTGATTCATTCTCTGGGCTCCCCAACTTACCCTGTCTGGTTACGTTCTCTAACAAATACTTTATAGTTTTCCTTCTGTATCTGCTGTAATTAATAACTATATTTTATCTATCTTGGCTTTTTCCTATTATTTTACCTCTGGATTCTTTCTCTTAAACATGTATAAGCCAGCATCAAATGTTAATATGTCTCTCAATATCAAAATGCTTTCCTTGAGCTAATTTCTTGTCTTGTTAACTATTATAAACTTACCTCTGCCTTCCTGGGTTCTAATTTGATCTAGGCCATGCAACACAAGTGAGACTGTATGGTATTCATTTAGTAAACAAATATTTATTAAGCACCTACTATGCTATGTTCTGATGCCCTGGGTATACATACCACTGAGAATAAGATAGAGACTTTTTGTTTTCCATATTGTTTTTGTTGCCTCTGTTTAACTGTTTGAGCAATAGCGAAGTCTTTCTTTAATTCTCCATTTATTGATGAAGACTTTCTCTCATTTTCTTCTAGTTCCATTTTTGTCTTTTCCTCTTGCCCACACTTATCCTTTAGATCTTTTCCCTCTGAATCCATCAGACTGACAAGAAAATTCTTTCCTAAAAAGTCTTTACAAAACTCATATTGTGTGAAATGGTTTTAATTTTTAATAAAAAGCAACAGTGAAAGTTAAGTATTGTATACGCATGGGAACAAATGTCTGGAATAACACATACCTCACTGTTAACACTGGAACTGGTGAGAGGAAACTTTCACCTTTATCTTTATGTACTTTGGCATTTTGGGGAAAAAAACTCTCCCCCTTACAGTCAGCAAATTGTATTCTGTAACACAGAAAAGAAAATGAGAAAAAGTATGGGCCAGGCATGGTGGCTCATGCCTGTAATCCTAGCACTTTGGGAGGCTGAGGTGGGCAGATCACCTGAGGTCAGGAGTTTGAGACCAGCCTGGCCAACATGGTGAAACCCCATCTCTACTAAAAAGAAGAAAAAAATACAAAAATTAGCTGGGCGTGGTGGCATGTGCCTGTAATCCCAGCTACTCAGGAGGCTGAGGCAGGAGAACTGCTTGAACCTGGGAGGTGGAGGTTGCAGTGAGCCGAGATTGCACCACTGTACTCCACGCTGGGCAACAGAGGGAGACTCCGTCTAAGAAAAAAAAAAAGTATAGATTGATGGACGACAAAAGGAAGGTTGAAGAAAAATGAAATGAAACTTACAATCTTCAAATTTGCCCACATTCCCACCTGTAGTTTTATGTCTCAATTGCTGAGTCTGTTATTTAGGTTTCAAATCACTGGTTTGGAACCCCGTCTTCCTGGGATTATGCAGTGTCAAGAACACTGTTGACATGAAAGCAATACTAATAGTAAAACAAGAGGAGGCATTTTTACAAGACACAGCACTACCCAGATGGATTTTGATAAGGTTGGTATGTACCCCAAGAGGTCATAATTAACCACATCAAAGAAGGAGTGGCTTCTTAAGCAAATGGACTTTATCTTGCCATCTGCCAAAAAATGTACCAAATGCTCTTACTTTGTTAAAAAATATCTGCACTTTTGGAACCAAGTCTTCGTAGCTTTGAACTGACAAACGTGATTGAAGAAATACTTTTATTACTTACACATTTGACCTCTCATTCTTTATTTGGCACCTTGCTTCTCTTATGTCCTCCTCGCTTGGACACATCATCTACAATTTACATAAATGAGAAAGTACTGGGTCATGGCTTAATTGGGAACAGAGAGGAGTTATCTGATAAAAACAGAGCAGGAAGAATTTAATTTCCCTAGCTCATGGTCAATTTTCATCCTACCAGCTGGCATGCTGGATTAAGTAGTTGTTAGAGAATTGAATTTAGCAAATCTAACGTAGGCAAAACTGCGTTAGAATTTATGTAGGACTCAACCTGGTTTCTGATTAGAATCCTCTGAAGAGGTTTTTGCAGATTAAGCTTGATTTAATTGGCTAACTTTGGAATTAATAAAAACAACAACCAAGGCCGGGCGCGGTGGCTCACACCTGTAATCCCAGCACTTTGGGAGGCCGAGGCGGGCGGATCACGAGGTCAGGAGATCGAGACCATCCCGGCTAAAACGGTGAAACCCCGTCTCTACTAAAAATACAAAAAATTAGCCGGGCGTAGTGGCGGGCGCCTGTAGTCCCAGCTACTTGGGAGGCTGAGGCAGGAGAATGGCGTGAACCCGGGAGGCGGAGCTTGCAGTGAGCCGAGATCCCGCCACTGCACTCCAGCCTGGGTGACAGAGCGAGACTCCGTCTCAAAAAAAAAAAAATAAAAAAAAAAACAACAACCAAACAAAACAACAAGCACAAAACACCTCTCCAGGTATCTCTAACGTGTAGCCAGGAGAGCTACTTCTGGGACTGAGCCAGCCTTATACGAGGTCTTTGGACTACACAGCTTTTAATTAGAGACCACATGGTTCTCTTAAGGAATAATAGATACTCTTCAAATTTATTCTTTCCTGTGATTTTTAGTTTCAGGTACATTTGAAAAATAATCATAGGTGTAAATGAATAGATTGGAATGGCCCAAGAATGTACTGAACATTTACAATTGTGTTTCAGCCTTGGTACTTTTACTTTATGTATATAAAACTCTAATATTATATTTCTCTGTAATTAATACTTATTTCTTAAATGTTATTTAATGAAGTAGTTCACCTTTATTTCTGCAATGATTATTAAATTATCAATCTTTTTCAAATGCAGAATAAAAATTTGCCTACCCTTGACTGTAAGTTTCTGGCTAGCACTGGAGTTTCTTTCACTGGAGGCATCTTCCTTAGATTCTTTGCCTGCCTCTTCTTTTTGGTGGTGCCATACTAGTTAGACACACCTCTACTGTTTCTCTTAGATTTAATAAAGGTGTTGGAGGCTATTCTTGCTGTTTTGTGGTTTTTATTCTATTTCTTCATTTCCAATATTACTTGGGGATATCTTTTTGTCTATGCTGTTCCCTATTCCACCCCTTTCCAGGGAGTTCTGGGCACAGCATTTTAGAATGTACAGAGATAAACCAGAATGTGCCTCATCATGCATAATCCACATGCCAAAGGACCTGCAAACCATGTTGGGTGATGAACATTTGAAGGAAATGAAGGCAATTGCCCAAAGAAATTATGATGTGAAATTATATGGTAAATGATAACTTCCTTAATATATTTTTCTTCCTTAATAAAAAGAATTGTCCTTTTTAATTATAGAAAACCCAGATCCTCCAAGGCCCTAACCCTGTTCCTTGATATGCAACTTTCTTTAGGTCAGGGATGATACTCATCATTCACCAGTGTTGCCACTTCCTCTGTTGTATTCATGATTGATAGGAGTACTAATTGATCAAAGCATTCTTTCCTGCTTGAATCTGGATGTGGCTTCAGGCAGCCACTACTAATTGATTGGTATTGGTGTTAAAAATGACATTATGTGTAATTCCTACCTTAAAGGTCTCTTGCTAATTACTGCTGCCAGGAGGATAATTCTGCCCTTTAACACCAAGGGGGCTTCATGATCTATATTTAAATAAGTCTCCTGCCATAATACCCAGATAACAGTTGAGACAAAACTAGAATATTTATTAAGACTGTAATTAAGTGTAAGTCACTAACAAAGTGGAAATAGAATAATATAAACTAGATAATCTTGCCTGTTCTTCCCTAATCCATCGTTAGCCTGGGATCCTCTAGCAGGATACCTCTTTGTATATCTCCTGGTTTTCCTCCATGAGGAAGAGAGAATTTTAAACTCCTAATCCTTTGGAATATTTCAGAATCTTCAGGACTTAAAAATTCAGATCCAAGAAAATGAAGTCCCAAGAGAGAGGAATTGTTCTATTTGTTGCTTTCTGAATTCTAGGTGAATTGCCTGATATTACTGAGGACTGGCAACAGAATGTTCATATGACATGTCTTTAAGAGAGACCACACTTAACTACAATTCTACTATGACCTCAAAATCCCAACATTCCTTCAGCAGAGCCACACTCTTAAAGATTATAAATGTTGTCTTCAAATAATTGAATATTTGAAGGTGTAAGTTTATTGCATATTTCTTCCAAGGGTCAGCTAGATCAGTGGGTAGAAATCAGAGGGGGGCCAGACCTGAGTTTAACAGAAGGTTATGTTTTCTACTAATAAGACATGCCCTAATGTTATTAAGCTGCCTTATGTTTTAGTGCTCCTAGTCATTGGAAAGATTTAGACAGTCTGGATTGCCCTGTGCCAGAGATAGAGTTGAGTGGACTCCCTTAGCAGATGGAAAATTGAACTTAATCTCCCTTCCCTTATCAAAGAATCAGGAGATAAGAAGATTCAAATATTCAGTTATTTGAAGACAATATTTATCAAAGAATCGAAGACAACATTTATCAAAGAATCGGGAGATTCTTTGATAAGTTAGGTATAGCTACCCTACACGGTACAGCAGGAGTATTTATAAGGAGGTAATCTATAAACCATTTGAACTTTTCTATCCTGACAGTTGCTGGCCAATGCAGGACTGATTATAAGTAATGATGACACATCTGTAACTTCTAAATGGGAAGGTCTTCGAATGGGATTGAAAAGACAAAGTGATGAAAAAATAATTGTGATAATACATACTGTTCCAGGTTTTAAGTGAGTACAACATAGCTGCATTATAATATAAAATTGTACAACTTAAAAATACACATATATGCAATCTATAATTACAAGTTTATGTGTACAACCTAGTCTATTTCTAAAAGAATTGTTCACATAATTTTGATCTTAAAATTGTAAGATGGAATATTATGTAACTAACATAACACTGCTACGGAAAATATATAATGTTGTGGGGAAATATTCACACACTACTGAAGAAAAGCAGATCATAAAAATAACATGAAGAATGATTCTACTTTTGATGGGGAAAAAGTATACATTTATGTTTTTAAATATAGATTAAAGGTGCTTTTAATTTTGTAAGAAAAAGAAGACTGGAAGGATGTACCTCAAAAAGTTAATAATGGATATTATAGGGGAGTAGAATTAAGGGTGACTTTTGTTTCTATTTTAAATGTTTTCTAAAATTTCCAAAGTTCTTAAAATAAGCAGACATTACCTTAGTGTTATCTTAGTTTTATATTTCTGCTGTAACAAATTATTACAAACTTCATAGTTTAAAAAACATGAATGTATTATCTTATGGTAAGATAATGTATTATCTTATAGGTTAAGAGTCCAATGCAAATTTCACTGGGTTAAAATAAAGGTGTTTATTGGGTAAAATCAAGTGCTGCATTCCTTTCTGGAGGCATTAGGGGTAAATCACTTTCCTCACCTTTTTCAGTTTGTAGAGGCTGCCTGCATTTCTTGGCTCATGGCCCCCTTCCTTCGTCTTTGAAGGCTGCGAAGTTGCATCTCTCTGACCATTCTTTCATAGACATATCTCCTCTGATGGGCTTCAACTAGAAAATGTTTTCTGCTTTTGGCATTCTCTTGATTAGTTTGAGTTTACCTAAATAATCCAAGATAATCTCCACATCTCAAGCCCTGTATCCTTAATCACACTTGTGAAGTCCCTTTTGCCAAGTAAGGCAACACAGTCACAGGATTCGGGGATTATGACATGAATATTTTTGGTGGGGGAATGCATTATTCTGCTTACCACATGTGGTCGGGAAAAGAAAACATTTGTAAAAATGTGTTGAATCCCTACTGAACTCATTCTTTCCAATAGAAACGAAGTCATACATGAGGCCATTCTCCAGGCTAGTCATCAGAGCCTATGTGACCCATGATAGAGGGGATTTTACTTTTTCAGTAAACTTGTTCAAATGGTCCTGTTAGTGCTCTTACACATCAGTACCTGAAAGAATGAACAATAACAAGTTCAAATGGTTTATAGATTACCTCTTTACAAATATACCTATGGTACTGTGTAGATTCACTATATGTAACTTATCAAAGATTCTCCCTCTGAAAGGGAGATTTAGCTCAATTTTCCATCTAAGAAGGGAGTCCATTCAACTCCATCTCTGGCACAGGGCAATCCAGACTTTGTCTAAATCTTCCCAGTGACTGGGAGCACTCTATAACATAAGGCAGCTTACTAACATTAGGGCATGTCTTATTAGTAGAAAACATATCCTTCTGTTAAACACACATCCGGCCCCACTCTAATTTCTACCCACTGGTCTAGCTGACTGTATCAGGAGAATGTATTCAGAGTTCCCAAGTGGATGCCAGGAACATAACCCTACCCTTTTTTTTCTCAGCCTCTGCTTTACTCTCTTCTTTCTCCCTTATACTTATTTTTGCCTCTCCCGTCTCCTCATATGTTCGGGAATACTGAGTGGAGATTCCGTTTTCAGTCTTTAGGTGGTGATCCCCATGGCCTGTGGCATGAGTTCAAGCAGGATGGGGGTAGGAAGTGAGGAACAGCTGAGGAATTAGATGAGTTTGAGAGAAGGTAGTTGTGGGACCTCTTTTTTGGTGTAAATCTCCGAAGGTATCCTGGGAGGCTCCCGTTTCTCTCCTTCAGTTTTCCCAGTGGCCCAAGTGATTGATTCACCTGCTTCTTTTTACCTATCGCCACTAGTGTCACTGAAGGCTTCTGTTACATTAAAAGAAAATCCTTAGCTAAATTAAATTTAATGGAGTTTATTTGAGCAAAGAACGATTCGCCAATTGGGCAGCCTCCAGAGCCCAGGTAGGCTCAGAGACTCCAGTGCACAGCCACGTGGTGGAAGATTTATGGATGGAAAAAGGAAAGTGACATATGGAAAATGGAAGTGAGGTACAGAAACAGCCAGATTGGTTACAGCTTGGCATTTGCCTTATTTGAACAAGGTTTGAACAGTTGGTTTCCTTTGATTGGCCAAAACTTGGTGATTGGCACAAGAGGAGGCTATAGTCTGTTGACACATCCAGTTAAGTTACAGTTCGCTATGAACAGAGAAACCTTTATGCAGAACTTAAAATATGTAGGGAGGCACCTTTAGGCTACACTTGACTTAACAGTTCTTACTTGCTCACCATGGAACAAAACAGTTGTTCATACAAACCAGAGCCCTTCTGGAGTTTTCTGAGGGCTTTTCTATCCAGCAACTGGGGACAGAAAACTCTCACATGCTCCCTTCTACTTATCTTGTGTTCGGGTTATGTAGCTCCAGGTGCTAGGGAAGGAGCGTTGCACGGAAGGGCTGCCTTAGAAGCTGGGGCATGGGGAAAGGCCGGCAAGAGGCTCCGCTGTTGGGCCAGGCAGTGGCAGGTGTGAGGGAGAAAGTCTGCTTTCCCTCTGTGGGGTGAGCTTTCCTCCAGCCTAGGCCAGCACAATCCCAGTCCCAGGTGGGTGGATCCCAATAAACAGAGCAAGTCTGTCTCCTTACAGTGTTCCAAAGATGGCGAGTGTATTGTTTTCTCATGTTCTGAGCTAGCTCTGTAGTTAGTTGAGGAAGTGTCTGGAGAAGGCTTTTCAAGGACAAGCCTCAAGTTGTCCTCTTTTTTGGCATTTAGGGGGAACATTGCCCCTGACTGGGAACTAGGGCTTGCCTCCTGATGATTGCAAGCCAGAAATAAAATCCTAAACCCTCCAACTGACTGAACTGAACAGACCCCCTCTTGGCTGAGGGAACCCCAGAGAAACCCAAAAAACGAAATTCCAGGCCATGCCAGGAAGGGAGGCTGAACACACCTTGTTGTACTCTTTTGGGGTTTAGGTTAAAATAGAGGTCACAAGACTGGCAAAACAGAATCTTTGTGGCAATGGGATACCAAATTACAAAGAAGACCTAAGGCCATGCAAGGCAGGGGTTAAGTCACATCCTACAAACCATAAAATCTGCCCTCCCCCACTTTTTTCTGAGGCAGTCTCCCTTTGTCACCAGGAGTGCAGTGGCATGATGACAGCTCACTGCAGCCTTGACTGCCTGGGCTCCAGGGATCCTCCCTTTTCAGCCTCCTGAGTAGCTGTGACTACAGGTGTGCACCACCATGCCAGGCTAATTTCGTATTTTTTGTGAAGTCAGGGTTTTGCCATGTTGCCCAGGCTGGTCTCAAACTCCTGAGCTCAAGTGATCTGCGCACTAAGTGCTATGATTACAGGTGTAAGCCACTACACCTGGCTTTGTATTGATTTATTAATTGGTCTACAATTCCCATCTCCCTAACATGTATATAACCAAACTGTAACCTGACCACCTTGGACACACTTTCTCAGGACCTCTTGAGACTGTTCCCTGGGCCATGGTCACTCATACAAGTTCACAGTAAGCCTCTTTAAAATATTTTAAAGTTTGGTCTTTCCATTAACACGATGATGAGGAGGATGACAAGTAGCTGCCATGTGCGAGTGCTTACCATGTTTTAGACTGTGCTGAGTGCCTACCTGAATCTAGTTAGATCTTCATGATGATAGTATGACATAAGAACTATTTTATCATTATTATGTGTCAGTGATTTCAAAATAACACAGAAAACATATAACGCTATACACTAAGTTAATGATATATGTAAGCCATGCAAAAAATATTGAGAATAAAATACACTGAATAAAGCACTGAAGTCATACAAAGGGCTTAGCTATGGTTGTGCTAAGCCTTGGAAAAACAGGTGGAATAAAATCCAGAGTCCTCTCTCCCTCTTTCCCCCAATTTACTCTCTTTGGATGGACCACACTGCAGCCGCTCTGGTGCTCTTTCTATCCCTAAAACACACCCAGCCTATTAGAGGCCAAATAGTGCCCTTTCAGTCCCCTAAAGTCATATGCCCAAGTCCTAAGCCCCAGTACCTCAGAATGTGACTGTAGTTGGAGATGGGGCCTCTACAGAGACAGTTAAGGTAAAATGAGGTCATTGGGGTGGGCCCTAATCCAATATGACGTATACTCAATACGACCATGATATTATGATGTATATATTTTGGGTTTTGTCCATGATTCCGGGTTCTCAGCTCCTGTAAGCCTTGCTGTTTCCTAAGTGACTAGAGCAATAAGAATATCTTTTGTTAAATTATTTGGCCTTTTGTCCTGGGTTCTTGAAACACCCTAGAAACAGCTTCAGAGAAGTGAGGGAGAAAGATGTTTTTTTGTTATTCGTAACAAAGCCTTTTCAACCACATCTGAGCTGGTGTGAATGAGGTGATTTTTGGAAACTCAGGGTGGGCAAATGATGGGGTGCTCATTGCCAGGGGAGAACTAGCCATGTGGTCAGCCCCACACTCCAACCACCCAACAACCAGGGAGGGGAGAGAGGCTGAGGTTTAAGTTGATTACCAATGACTGATTGATTTAATTAGTCATATCTGTGTAACAAAGCTTTCATTAAAACCCCAAAAGAACTGGGTTGGAAGAGCTTGTGGATAGCTGAGCATGCGAGAGTTTCCAGGAAGATGAACAAGAAGACATCCACGAGCTGGGAGGGTGGTGCACCCCAGCTCCACCCGGACAGAAGCTCCTGGGCTCATGACCCTTCCAGATCTTGCCCTATGCCTCTCTTCATCTGGCTGTTTATTTGTATCCTTTAAAATATCCTGTGTAATAAACCAAGTAAGTGTTTCCCTGAGTTCTGTGACCTGCTCTAGCAGCTCGTGGGAGCCCTGGTTTATACTTGGTGAGTCAGAAGCACGGGCAAAATAACCTGGGGCTTGCAATTGTTGTCAGAAGTGGAGGGCAGTCTTGTGCAGCTGAGTCCTCAACCTTTGTGATCTGATGCCCTCTCCAGGTAGATATTGTCAGAATTGAGTTGAATTGGAGGACACCCCGCTGTTGTCCTCTGTGCAATCACTTGCTTGCCGATGGGAGAAATCCCCACACATCTGGTGTCACAGGCGTGTTGTGAGAGTATAGAGGAAAATGGTTTGCTTTTCCACCTATAGACACATACAGAGGGAAAATGAGGTGAAGACACAAGGAAAAGACAACCATCTATGAGCCAAGGAGAGAGGCCTTAAAAGAAATCAACCCTGGCATCTTGATCTTGGACTTCAAGCCTCCAGAATGGTGAGAAGATTAATTCTGTTGTTTAAGTCGCCCTGTCTGTGGTGTTTGTTATAGTAGCCCTAGCAAAATAATACAAAGCCTTTTTCTGTGCTAGGAACTTTGTGCTTTGCATTTTCTGGTTGGAAATCTTTGTTCCCATGCTCAGTTCAAATATTCCCCCCTCACAGAGGCTGTCCCCACCTGTCAACTGAAATTACTGCCCCCACTCCCAACAGTCAACCTCTTACCAGCAACCCCCAGCACAGGAGTCTGTTCTGTATTTTTTATACTTCTATTAGCACCTGATATTATTTACTTGTGTTACTGTTTATTTTCTCTTCCCTGATCCCTTCTAGAATGTAAGCGCCTTAAAGGTAGCCTCTAGTTCATTTTTATGAAATAAACTGCTGTCAGTTCAGAGCCAGGGTCTGGTGATTAAAAAAAAAAAGAAGAGGAAATAACCTTATTATTATTATTTTTTTATTATACTTTAAGTTTTAGGGTACACGTGCACAATGTGCAGTTTATTACATATGTACACATGTGCCATGTTGGTGCGCTGCACCCATTAACTCTTCAATTAACATTAGGTATATCTCCTAATGCTATCCCTCCACCTTCCCCCCACCACACAACAGGCCCCGGTGTGTGATGTTCCCCTTCCTGTGTCCATGTGTTCTCCTTGTTTAATTCCCACTTATGAGTGAGAACATGCAGTGTTTGGTTTTTTTGTTTTTTTTGTTTGTTTGTTTGTTTGTTTTTGAGACGGAGTCTCGCTCTGTCGCCCAGGCCGGACTGCGGACTGCAGTGGCGCAATCTCGGCTCACTGCAAGCTCCGCTTCCCGGGTTCACGCCATTCTCCTGCCTCAGCCTCCCGAGTAGCTGGGACTACAGGCGCCCGCCACCGTGCCCGGCTAAGTTTTTGTATTTTTAGTAGAGACGGGGTTTCACCTTGTTAGCCAGGATGGTCTCGATCTCCTGACCTCATGTTCCACCCGCCTCGGCCTCCCAAAGTGCTGGGATTACAGGCGTGAGCCACCGCGCCCGGCCCAGTGTTTGTTTTTTTGTCCTTGCGATAGTTTGCTGAGGATGATGGTTTCCAGCTTCATCTATGTCCCTACAAAGGACATGAACTCATCATTTTTTATGGCTGCATAGTATTCCATGGTGTATATGTGCCACATTTTCTTAATCCAGTCTATCATTGTTGGACATTTGGGTTGGTTCCAAGTCTTTGCTATTGTGAATAGTGCCACAATAAACATACGTGTGCATGTTTCTTTATAGCAGCATGATTTATAATCCTTTGGGTATATACCCAGTAATGGGATGGCTGGGTCAAATGGTATTTCTAGTTCTAGATCCCTGAGGAATCGCCACACTGACTTCCACAATGCTTGAACTAGTTTACAGTCCCACCAACAGTGTAAAAGTGTTCCAATTTCTCCACATCCTCTCCAGCCCCTGTTGTTTCTTGACTTTTTAATGATTGCCATTCTAACTGGTGTGAGATGGTATCTCATTGTGGTTTTGATCTGCATTTCTCTGATGACCAGTGATGATGAGCATTTTTTCATGTGTCTTTTGGCTGCATAAATGTCTTCTTTTGAGAAGTGTCTGTTCATATCCTTTGCCCACTTTTTGATGGGGTTGTTTGTTTTTTTCTTGTAAATTTGTTTGAGTTCATTGTAGATTCTGGATATTAGCCCTTTGTCAGATGAGTAGATTGCAAAAATTCTCTCCCATTCTATAGGTTGCCTGTTCACTCTGATGGTAGTTTCTTTTGCTATGCAGAAGCTCTTTAGTTTACTGAGATCCCATTTGTCAATTTTGGCTTTTGTTGCCATTGCTTTTGGTGTTTAAGACATGAAGTCCTTGCCTATGCCTATGTCCTGAATGGTATTGCCTAGGTTTTCTTCTAGGGTTTTTATGGTTTTAGGTCTAACATTTAAGTCTTTAATCCATCTTGAATTAATTTTTGTATAAGATGTGAGGAAGGGATCCAGTTTCAGCTTTCTACATATGGCTAGCCAGTTTTCTCAACACCATTTATTAAATAGGAAATCCTTTCCCCATTGCTTGTTTTTGTCAGGTTTGTCAGAGATCAGATAGTTGTAGATATGCAGCATTATTTCTGAGGGCTGTGTTCTGTTACAATGATCTATATCTCTGTTTTGGTACCAGTACCATGTTGTTTTGGTTACTGTAGCCTTGTAGTATAGTTTGAAGTCAGGTAGCGTGATGCCTCCAGCTTTGTTCTTTTGGCTTAGGATTGACTTGGCAATGCAGGCTCTTTTTTGGTTCCATATGAACTTTAAAGTAGTTTTTTCCAATTCTGTGAAGAGAGTCATTGGTAGCTTGATGCGGATGGCATTGAATCTATAAATTCCCTTGGGCAGTATGGCCACTTTCACGATATTGATTCTTCCTTCCCATGAGCATGGAATGTTCTTCCATTTGTTTGTATCCTCTTTTATTTCATTGAGCAGTGTTTTGTAGTTCTCCTTGAAGAGGTCCTTCACATCCCTTGTAAGTTGGATTCCTATGTATTTTATTCTCTTTGAAGCAATTGTGAATGGGAGTTCACTCATGATTTGGCTCTCTGTTTGTCTGTTATTGGTGTATAAGAATGCTTGTGATTTTTGTACATTGATTTTGTATCCTGAGACTTTGCTGAAGTTGCCTATCAGTTTAAGGAGATTTTGGGCTGAGATGATGGGGTTTTCTAGATACACAATCACGTCATCTGCAAACAGGGACAATTTGACTTCCTCTTTTCCTACTTGAATACCCTTTATTTCTTTCTCCTGCCTGATTGCCCTGGCCAGAACTTCCAACACTATGTTGAATAGGAGTGGTGAGAGAGGGCAACCCTGTCTTGTGCCAGTTTTCAAAGGGGATGCTTCCAGTTTTTGTCCATTCAGTATGATATTGGCTGTGGGTTTGTCATAGATAGCTCTTATTATTTTGAGATACGTCCCATCAATACCCAATTTATTGAAAGTTTTAGCATGAAGGGTTGTTGAATTTTGTCAAAGGCGTTTTCTGCATCTGTTGAGATAATCATGTGATTTTTGTCTTTGGTTCTGTTTATCTGCTGGATTACGTTTATTGATTTTCATATGTTGAACCAGCCTTGCATCCCAGGGATGAAGCCCACTTGATCATGGTGGATAAGCTTTTTGATGTGCTGCTGGATTTGGTTTGCCAGTATTTTATTGAGGATTTTTGCTTCAATGTTCATCAGGGATATTGGCCTAAAATTCTCTTTTTTTTGTTGTGTCTCTGCCAGGCTTTGGTATCAGGATGATGCTGGCCTCATAAAATGAGTTAGGGAGGATTCCCTCTTTTTCTATTGTTTGGAATAGTTTCAGAAAAAATGGTACCAGCTCCTCCTTGTACCTCTGGTAGAATTCGGCTGTGAATCCATCTGGTCCTGGACTTTTTTGGGTTGGTAAGCTATTAATTATTGCCTCAATTTCAGAGCCTGTTATTGGTCTATTCAGAAATTCAACTTCTTCCTTGTTTAGTCTTGGGAGGGTGTATGTGTCAAGGAATTTATTCATTTCTTCTAGATTTTCTAGTTTATTTGCATAGAGGCGTTTATAGTATTCTCTGGTGGTAGTTTGTATTTCTGTGGGATTGGTGGTGATATCCCCTTTATCATTTTTTATTGCATCTATTTGATTCTTCTCTCTTTTCTTCTTTTTTAGTCTTGCTAGTGGTCTATCAATTTTGTTGATCTTTTCAAAAAACCAGCTCCTGGATTCATTGATTTTTTGAAGGGTTTTTTGTGTCTTTTATCTCCTTCAGTTCTGCTCTGATCTTAGTTATTTCTTGCCTTCTGCTAGCTTTTGAATGTGTTTGCTCTTGCTTTTCTGGTTCTTTTAATTGTGATGTTAGGGTGTCAATTTTAGATCTTTCCTGCTTTCTCTTGTGGGCATTTAGTGCTATAAATTTCCCTCTACACACTGCTTTGAATGTGTCCCAGAGATTCTGGTGTGTTGTGTCTTTGTTCTCGTTGGTTTCAAAGAACATCTTTATTTCTGCCTTCATTTCATTATGTACCCAGTAGTCATTCAGGAGCAGGTTGTTCAGTTTCCATGTAGTTGAGTGGTTTTGAGTGAGTTTCTTAATCCTGAGTTCTAGTTTGATTGCACTGTGGTCTGAGAGACAGTTTGTTATAATTTCTGTTCTTTTACGTTTGCTGAGGAGTGCTTTACTTCCAATTATGTGGTCGATTTTGGAATTGGTGTGGTGTGGTGCTGAAAAGAATGTATATTCTATTGATTTGGAGTGGAGAGTTCTGTAGATGTCTATTAGGTCTGCTTGGTGCAGAGCTGAGTTCAATTCCTGGATATCCTTGTTAACTTTCTGTCTCATTGATCTGTCTAATGTTGACAGTGGGGTGTTAAAGTCTCCCATTATTATTGTGTGGGGGTCTAAGTCTTTTTGTAGGTCTCTAAGGACTTGCTTTATGAATCTGGGTGCTCCTGTATTGGGTGCATATATATTTAGGATAGTTAGCTCTTCTTGTTGAATTGATCCCTTTACCATTATGTAATGGCCTTCTTTGTCTCTTTTGATCTTTGTTGGTTTAAAGTCTGTTTTATCAGAGACTAGGATTGCAACCCCTGCCTTTTTTTGTTTTCCATTTGCTTGGTAGATCTTCCTCCATCCCTTTATTTTGAGCCTATGTGTGTCTCTGCCCGTGAGATGGGTTTCCTGAATACAGCACACTGATGGGTCTTGACTCTTAATCCAATTTGCCAGTCTGTGTCTTTTAATTGGAGCATTTAGCCCACTTACATTTAAAGTAATATTGTTATGTGTGAATTTGATCCAGTCATTATGATGTTAGCTGGTTATTTTGCTCATTAGTTGATGCAGTTCCTTCCTAGCCTCGATGGTCTTTACAATTTGGCATGTTTTTGCAGTGGCTGGTACCAGTTGTTCCTTTCCATGTTTAGCACTTCCTTCAGGAGCTCTTTTAGGGCAGGCCTGGTGGTGACAAAATCTCTCAGCATTTGCTCATCTGTAAAGTATTTTATTTCTCCTTCACTTATGAAGCTTAGTTTGGCTGGATATGAAATTCTGGGTTGAAAATTCTTTAAGAATGTTGAATATTGGCCCCCACTCTCTTCTGGCTTGTAGAGTTTCTGCTGAGAGATCAGCTGTTAGTCTGATAGGCTTACCTTTGTGGGTAACCTGACCTTTCTCTCTGGCTGCCCTTAACATTTTTTCCTTCATTTCAACTTTGGTGAATCTGATAATTATGTGTCTTGGAGTTGCCCTTCTCGAGGAGTATCTTTGTGGCATTCTCTGTATTTCCTGAATTTGAATATTGGCCTGCCTTGCTAGCTTGGGGAAGTTCGCCTGGATAATATCCTGTGGGGTGTTTTCCAACTTGGTTGCATTCTCACCATCACTTTCAGGTACACCAATCAGAAGTAGATTTGGTCTTTTCACATAGTCCCATATTTCTTGGAGGCTTTGTTCATTTCTTTTTATTCTTTTTTGTCTAAACTTCTCCTCTCACTTCATTTCATTCATTTGATATTCCATCACTGATACCCTTTCTTCCAATGGATTGAATCGGCTACTGAGGCCTGTGCATTCGTCATGTAGTTCTCATGCCGTGGTTTTCAGCTCCATGAGGTCCTTTAAGGACTTCTCTGCATTGGTTATTCTTGTTAGCCATTTGTCTAATTTTTTTTTCAAGGTTTTTAACTTCTTTGCCATGGGTTCGAACTTCCTCCTTTAGCTTGGAGTAGTTTAATCATCTGAAGCCTTCTTCTCTCAATTCGTTAATGTCATTCTGTGTCCAGCTTTGTTCCATTGCTGGTGAGGAGCTGCATTCCTATGGAGGAGGAGAGGCACTCTGATTTTTAGAGTTCCCAGTTTTTCTGCTCTGTTTTTTCCCCATCTTTGTGGTTTTATCTGCCTTTGGTCTTTGATGATGGTGACGTACAGATGGGGTTTTGGTGTGGATGTCCTTTCTGTTTGTTAGTTTTCCTTCTAACAGTCAGGACCCTCAGCTGCAGGTCTGTTGGAATTTGCTGGAGGTCCACTCCAGACCCTGTTTGCCTGGGTATCAGCAGCGGAGGCTGCAGAACAGTGGGTATTGGTGAACAGCAAATGTTGCTGCCTGATCGTTCCTCTGGAAGTTTTGTCTCAGAGGAGTACCTGGCTGTGTGAGGTGTCAGTCTGCCCCTACTGGGGGGTGCCTTCCAGTTAGGCTACTTGGGGGTCAGGGACCCACTTGAGGAGGCAGTCTGTCCATTCTCAGATCTCCAGCTGTGTGCTGGGAGAACCACTACTGTCTTCCAAGCTGTCAGACAGGGACATTTAGGTCTGCAGAGTTTTCTGCTGCCTTTTGTTTGGCTATGCCCTGCCCCCAGAGGTGGAGTCTACAGAGGCAGGCAGGCCTCCTTGAGCTGTGGTGGGCTCCACCCAGTTCGAGCTTCCTGGCCGCTTTGTTTACCTATGCAAGCCTCTGCTATGGTAGGTGCCCCTCCCCCAGCCTAGCTGCCGCCTTGCAGTTTGATCTCAGACTGCTGTGCTAGCAATGAGCGAGGCTCCGTGGGCATAGGACCCTCTGAGCCATGCGCGGGATATAATCTCCTGGTGTGCTGTTTGCTAAGACTGTTGGAAAAGTGCAGAATTAGGGTGGGATTGACCCGATTCTCCAGGTGCCGTCTGTTACCCCTTTCTTTGACTAGGAAAGGGAATTCCCTGACCCCTTATGCTTCCCAGGTGAGGCGATGCCTTGCCCTGCTTCAGCTCACACTTGGTGCACTGCACCCACTGTCCTGCACCTACTGTCCAACACTCACCAGTGAGATGAACTTAGTACCTCAGTTGGAGATGCAGAAATCACCCGTCTTCTGCATTGCTCAGGCTGGGAGCTGTAGACTGGAGTTGTTCCTATTTGGCCATCTTGGTTCCCCAACCCCTGGAAATAACCTTTGATAGAATGAACAGTTCTGATCCCCACAAGCCACTGTGCAAGGTCCATGAAATTTTGGTATCTGCTATGAGCAATCACAGACCATCATCAGTCTTTCATTATTCTCTTGCTCCAAGTTCAGGCCTTTAAAACATTCATTTTCATTAAATCATTTGATTTTTATAGGAGGCTTGGCTTTTCTCCAATATGCCCTGCAAATTCTCGTCTGTTATACTTACATTAAATTAAGCCTAAAGCTGCCTCTTTACATGTTTTAAGTTTGGTCCGAAAGTTTCTCCATATGTAGTGAACTGTAACCTAACAGGCTGCGTCAAATGACTGTAACCAACTCTTGCACCAATCACTGAGTTTTGGCCAGTCTAAGGTGAGCAACTGTTTAAACCGTGTTCAAATAAGGCACAGGCTGAGATGTAACCAATCCAGTGATTTTGGTACCTCACTTCCATTTTCCATACCTTGCTTTCCTTTTTCTGTCAACAAATCCTTTGTGACCACATGCGGAAGTTGTTCTGAACCTATTCTGGTTTGGGGGCTGCCTGACTGGAGAATTGTTCCTTGCTCAGCTGAACTCTGTTAAGTTCAGTTTGTCTTAAGTTCTTCTTTTAACACCTGTGAGCAACAATGGCTGCATCTTAAGTGAGGCCCCCTCACCCTAGTCTACACTTCTGCATGCTCTCCTGCATTTGTGTATGCTTTGGTTTGTGTGTTCTCCTTAAAGAGTCAGCATTCTGCATATCATAGTACTGGGAGGAGAGTATTAAGCCAGCTCTGGCAGGAAAAACAACTCTGCTTGGAGATAGAACTGAAAATAGATTTCCCCATTGGGCAGAAATACAGATGCATGAAATCTCTTGTGCATCCCATTTGATATTCCTGGCAGCAATAGTTCTGGGATCTTATTATTTGAATGCTTCTTGCCCATTGTGATGAGGACTACATATCCACACATGAATGTACATACGTACAGTAGAATATTAGAAATGGCAGAAATTCCATT
Organism: Homo sapiens; assembly: GCF_000001405.40. Lineage (NCBI taxonomy): Eukaryota > Metazoa > Chordata > Mammalia > Primates > Hominidae > Homo > Homo sapiens. Next base: position 42,660,530 of record NC_000012.12, read on the forward strand.
TATTGTGTAACGAAACCCAATCTTTCCAGTCATTTACTAGTCAGGAGAGCTGGTCTCACAATTACATATGGAAATATTATATTTGAAGATATATGATCTTCATAATTTTGTTTCGGATATGGGTGAAAAGCAGTCTGAGAGCTACCAGATTAAATAAACAACAGTAATAATCTTTTTTATTCCTGGGAAAAGAAATGAGGCTGATTTGAAAAAGAACAAATCAACTTGTTAATGTTTCAAAAAATATCTCATTAGAAGTAAACACAATTTCATGAAAATTCCAGTGGTGTTTAATCTAGCTAATATTACTACTGCCTTGTGGAAACTGTAACACTCAGCTGTGTGACAGGTTGCTTTTCACAATGATTTGTGTCACAGGATTTTTCAACTTTTGAAACAGGGTAGAAAATACACAATTTTACTTTTTTTTGGTTAAAAGGAAGCTGAAGAAAAACAAGGACAAAATATTGACTATACAAATGAAAGCTTAAAATGAAAACAACACAAACCAAACTCAAAATACACTGAGGGTACCAATTTGCTCTTTAGAATTTTCTGGGATTATTGTTGCTTTAAAACTGTAGAGTAAACAAGGAGCGGTTCTCTGTGACTCATAGTTCCAGATTGACAGCTGTCATTTCTCTTTAGCAGATAAAGAGGCACTTCCTTTTTTTAGTTGTCAGCTGCTAAGGCAGTTTAGTGAGCACTGGAGAACCAGGTCAGGGTGAGCACACAGACTGCTGTAATGGCACAAAATCAAACCCCACTTTTGGACTTGGGTCTAACGGCAAAGGCAAGATTGAACATTGGAGCACTGATTAAAGTCAAACCTCCCAGTTTCAAGAGGTTTATTCATTTTTTAAAAGGCCTATTAGTAACTGAATGAGTTTACAGTTCTGAGTAACTGTATGTATGGTCTATAGTAAACAACCTAAACAGCTGTTCTAAATGAGTTCTTTATATTCAGCCTCTAGAAACTTGTAATTACATTTGAGCCAGGACATGTGATACCAGAAGATATAAAGCTATTTAGCCCCAACTGCCACTTGAATTCAGGCAAGGCAGTTCAGTAGGATCAGCGGAACACACAAGAAAATCACTGCCATTAATCATCTCTTAAAGTAGAACTGAAGAAAGCTTTTCTTTAAAAACAAATAGATTTACTCTTTTTTCATTAGTCCTGGGCTTTAAAAATAAATTGTGATGAGGTTGCATTTTCAGCAGCAATTGATCTTTTCTGTCTTACATTTTATATCTTGCTAGGTGATGTTAGGAAATTTTAGGCATAAATACTGTTATAGCAGTTCTCTTTAAAAAGTGGAGGCTCAAGAAGAAAGTTAAGAAACACCCTAATTTTCAACAACCATGAAATCAAGTGTGGGTTGCTCCAAGAATTTCTCCCCATCTCTAGCTACAAAAGCATGCTCTAGGAGAACACATGTATGCCCAATGAAATAGTTTAGATATTTGAATATGAACAATCTTTAAATAAACAGGCCATGTTTTAAATGTCGTTTATTTTAGCAAATATTGACAGATTTGAAACCTCTGTTTCCAGGTAGATTGACCAAAATCTAACAGTTACGAATAGTTTTACCAACCTGCAAAATCTTTATAAATTTTTTGACTCTTTCCATCATGAATTCATTCACTACTGAAAAGAGTATTTACTGAGACTCATTTGGTTCTACAACTAATAACAGTGAGCTTCAGGAGTTTGAAGTTTTTATTCATTTTTAGCAATATGTATTCAATTTATCTTAACATTCTTAGGATCTGTCTTCTGATTCTTTAGATTACAAATAGGTCCAACATAATTTCTTTTTCTTTTCTTTTCTTTTTTTTTTTTTTTGAGACGCAGTCTCACTCTGTTGCCCAGGCTGCAGTGCAGTGGTACACTCTCAGCTCACTGCAACCTCCACCTCCGGGGTTCAAGCAATTCTCCTGCCTCAGCCTCCTAAGTAGCTGGGATTACAGTCATGTGCCACCACACCCGGCTAATTTTAGTAATTTTAGTAGAGATGGGGTTTCACCATATTGGCCAGGCTGGTCTCAAACTCCTGACCTCAAGTGATCCACCCACCTCAGCCTCCCAAAGTGCTGGGATTGCCACCGTGCCTGGCAGTTCTAACCTAATTTCTTTCTGACCTTGGCTCTCTTGGGCCATGCCAATTACAGGTCAAGTCAACCCTTCCCTTAAAAGCCTGGGACACTGATTAGCATGAGCCAGAGCTGGAGAGCCACATGAAGGCAACGTATGGTGCCCAAATGGTACACGGCCACACGCTGTTCTTCAAGATGCACCTCATTAGCTTGTTTCTGATGTGGTACGTCGTTCTCCTCTATTTTCTCCAATTTCATACTTTTGCATTTTTAATCATTCTTTAAGACCCAGCTCAAATCATTTTTCTTCATGAAAGCTTTATTAATCTACTTTCTTCGTTCTCCCAATTTCCATGTATTTGTATTTTTCTTTCAGTGCACACCTAGAAGTGGTTGCATCTATGGTAGTCAGATTTTCTTCCTCTTGTGTTCCTATAGATCAAAAGTTCTTTGACAATAATATTGTTTCTCATTTTCTAGTAGCCCCTGCTGTCTTTCAAATGGAATGTGCCTGATAAATATTTGTTGATAAAGTTGGGAGGAATTGGATACAATATTGGCGTATGGATTGGCATATATTGGATACCATATATCTGGCATATGGATTGGCATACATTGGATACCATATATCTGGCATATGGATTTTATTTTTGCCTTTTTTTTTCATCCATTCCTGAAAGTAGTAAAAAAAAAAAAAAAAAGACCGTATCAGGACTACATTTATAGCCAAAGAGTCCTTGAATTAGAGTGAAACAACTGAGGCTAGAATTTAGCTCTTTATGTTAAATTTGTGGCACTAATTTTCCCAGTGGCAGTTGGGGAAGTCACCAACACAGACATAACGTCATTGCAAACCAGGAGGCCAAGCATAGCTGTGGGAAAGAAAGCCATGTTCAAAAGGAAATATCCAAAATAATAGAATGGAGGGTCTAGAAAATCGCCACCATGAATGCTGTTTTTGTGGGTCTCATTTTCCCCAAGGTTGCTCTGGTATGAAAGTCCTTCTTTAAGGAGATAACATAAAAATAAATAAGTGGTGGCAAAAAAAAAAAAAAAGCTCACTCTTGTAATGGCCTTGTGTGTTCTTTGGCTATTTCAATGTAATGTTTATCTAATAAATAGCATTTCAGTGTTAAACAGTAGAGCTGTGTCTCCGCTTCTATGCCAGAAGGCTGGACCTCCTTCAGGTCTTGCCATGCTCTTACTGCTGAAAAAAGTTCTGTTTTAATGAAAAGAGATACTATGTGGCTGGAGCCAGTACCAGTGATGCCTGCTTAACATTTTCATGCTTCCACATAGTACAGAAGTCTTCAGACAGTCACAGTTCACGTGTTTGTGTGTGATTACTATATGTATGGTCTATAGTAAACGTGCATGCATACATAAAAATATAATTTCAATAAAAACTGACGGTAAAAAGCACCCAGACAACCAGACAATACTTGTTGGAGATAGAATTCTATGTAAATGCTTCCTGTACTAAACAAGTTTATCAGAGAAAGGCATTGTTCAAAGGGAAATATCCTTTGTGTATGAAGATAAACGTAATAAGGATTATTGTGTATAATGTCCTTTGGCGATGTGTATTGGTGCATCTGTATAATAACTGAATAATTGTTCTGATGTCCATATTACAAAAAAGGAAGGAAAAAAGAAGACTAATGTGTGTGGTAGTGAAATTTGAAAGAAAGATGCTAATTCCAGAACAGAGCAAATGAAACCTATGTCCAATTACCTACCTCAACTCTTAGACAGTCAACATATTTTTATTTATTTATTTATTTTTTAAAAATAATAGATACGAGGTCTCACTGTGTTGCCCAGGCTGGTCTAGAGCTCAAACAATCCTCTTGCCTTGGCCTCCCAAAGTGCTGGGATTACAGGCGTGAGCCATCACGCCCAGCCTGGTCAACACATTTAGATGGTATTGGAGTCATTTTTGAGATTGGATTTCAGAAATGTAGTTGATCTCCAAACTTTGCTATTTTCCAGAGGAGGAGAATGTTTCTTGAGAATAGTAAAATGAATTTTTAGCATGGTAGAGTGAGGACATGGCAGGGACAAGGTAGGTCAAGGCGGGACAGGTTAAAGAGGAAGAAAACATAGTCCAGGAAAAATTGTCCAAACTACTGAGAAAAATATATGATATTGCCCTGTTCATTTAATCCACTTCTGTAAACTCAGAGGAAGTGTTTATGCGGTTCTAAGGCAGTGCTTCTACTCTGACAAGGTATGAGAATTTGTTTTATGGACCAAAGAGTTTCAGGGTGGAAAATGGGAAAGAGAAACTTGAAAGGGATTTGGTTGAGGTGTTGTCATCATCAGTCTGACCTCCTTAATAAACTTTGCATGTTCAATCATCCATTCCATTCATTTGGAAAACTATTAAGCTCCTTCTGGGAGCACAGGAAGGATCACTACCCTGAGATAAATAGGTCCTGTCTCTGAGGAACTTACAATCAGTCAGGTTTAAATTATGAGATCCATTATGCATAGTTCATGTGCTCTGCAGCTTGGGCTGATTTTAATATTGATGGACACAGACATGGTGTTTATGGGCAATGAATTGTGTTGACATGGCTGCCTTGTCCCCTCTTGGGGAACTGTCCTCACTGGTGGCCTTTGTTGCTTCCGCTGATTTCCTTAGGGCTCCCTTACTTGGTAACTTCCCTTGATCCAGCCTTCTCCTCTCTGTCCTTTCAGCAAATACAGCTGCCTTGTGTGCTGTTCTCCCAGAATTCAGAATCTATTTTATCTGAAAAACCTCTTGGTAAAGTGATAATGGATTCTTTTTCCTAGTTAGCATGTTTATATGGGAATAGCACAATGAAGACACCTGCTTTAAGCCTGGGGAAGGTCTCTAATGCTAACAATTTCAGGTCATGGCAGGCTAAGGGGTGGTGGTGGGGAGTCATCGGAACCCCTCAAATGGTAATCATACTCCATGGCTTCTGTCTGTATCCAGAGTGATGGTGGCGGATGTATCACTCTGGTTCCAAGAGCAACTAGAGAGCTTGTCATCTGTGCTGAGATGCACTCACTTCTGCAGGTTTTGTTCTCTCCCTGGGCCATCACTCCTCAGAAAGGGTGGAAGAACTCTGGAAAATTTTCACCTATGGTCTCTTCAAATACTAGTTTTCTGCTATTCCCACCACTCAGTGTGTGTTTGTTTTGGATTATTTAAATTCACAAACAGTAAAGTCGACATTGACTTTGATTTTTTATCCTATGAGTGATTTTTTTTTTTTTTTTGAGACAGAGTCTCCCTCTGTCACCCAGGCTGGAATGCAGTGGCGCAGTCTCAGCTCACTGCAATCTCTGCCTCCCGGGTTCAAGCGATTCTCCTGCCTCAAACTCCCAAGTAGCTGGCATTACGGGCACGCACCACCACGCCTGGCTAACATTTTTTTTTTTTAAGTAGAGACGGGGTTTCGCCATGTTGACCAGGCTGGTCTTAAACTCCTGACCTCAGGTGATCCACCCACCTTGGCCTCCCAAAGTGCTGGGATTACAGGCGTGAGCCACTGTACCTGGCCTATTCTATGAGTTTTGACGCTTGCAGAGATTTGTGTAACCACCACCACATTCAGGATACAGAATAATTCCATCACCCTCTAGGTCAATGCTCTGCTCTCACAAATAATCCTTGGTAAGTATTGATCTGTTCTTTGTTGCTATGGTTGTATACATATTTTTGAAAGTGTTGTTTTAATGGAATCATACAGTATGCCACTTTTTGAGACTGCCTTTTTTCATTCAGCCTAATGCACTTGAGATTCATCCAAGTTGTTGCGTGTATCAGTGGTTTGCTCCTTTTTATTGCTGAGTAGCATTCCATCCAATGGCTATTTATCCATTCACTGAATGAAGAACATTTGGATTGCCTCCCATTTTTAGCAATTATGAATAGAGGTGTGCCCATTTTACTATGAGCATGTTTTCATTTATCTTAGGTAAATACCTAGGAGTAGGATAGCTGGGTCATATAGTAAATATATCAAATAATACAAAATAAAAACAATTGGAAGAGACTGCCAAACCATTTTTTGTTGCCCCAGAATAAATGATGCTATAGAAACGAATCTTTTAGTGCCTCTGAGCTCACCCATCTAAAAGCAAAGCAAAGAGTACTGGTTCCTCCAAAGAGCAGCCATTGATCATTTGTCTGACTCAATGTTTATTCCTACTCACTGCTGTGAGAAACCACCCTCTGGAAGGCAAGCACTTTGCGTCTTTACATGCAGAAGTGGGCGGGGCTGGCTTTGTGTTGAGTCAAGGGTGCGTGTTACTTAGAGGTAGCTTAGGTCGGAGCACTGTCTGGGTCCACAGAATCAAGCAAAGCTTGGAATGAACTATACAACAGCAGTGGGAGGCTCAAGCAAAGCTTGGAATGAACTATACAACAGCAGTGGGAGGCTCAAGCAAAGCTTGGAATGAACTATACAACAGCAGTGGGAGGCTGCTGTGCTTTCTGCCTAAGCTTAAAGAAAGAAGACACACCTGGGGTCCTGCAGTAGAGCACTCAGTTTGATACTTGGGCACATTAAACATTCAGCAAGAACAGTGCCTGAACATTGTCTTCTAAACAGTATCATCAAAATGTAAACAGATAGTGTGACAATCCTATAGCGATTCTGTTGTTGGATGTCTTTTCTCCTGATTGGTCTCAGTGCCCTGAAACAATTCCTTCAGCCTGAACTGCTGGGAATTCAGATTAGCCAGCATCAAACCAACCCTTTAATGGGATCCATTGGCAATTGCACACAGCAGAGGTTAAGCAAATCTTAGGAACAGCTTTTTACTAATCACAGAAAAAGATGCACTTTATTTATATTTTAACACATCCCACTGTATTAAATCCAATGAAATGAATCAGAGATAAGCTATATAAAGAATATATATGTATATTTATATGTGTATATATATACACACACACACATTTCAGGTAATTTTGGTAGCACTTAAAAAGTTTGTCTGATTTAACTTCTATGACACCACAACTTTAAACCGCTCCTAGCACAACTATAAAATAGAAAAACTGACATATGTAAAAAAAAAAAATGGATCAGGGATCATATCAGACAAACTTATAATTATAAGCAGAATTATGGTAGAAGATAAGTAGCAGTTGGAGAAACTCAAAAGGTTTTTGGGCTTGTTTTGGATGACCCTCAGAAGGTTTCATTTCTCAGGCAAATGTTCTGTCTCTGGAGTTGGAAAAACTGGACTTGAACTCTTATGAGAACAGGTAATTCCTCCTGGTTTGTTTTGATGACCAACATGGCCAGAGTAGCTTCTTTCAGGTGTTTAGCGCTTGTGCTAGAGCCCCTTTCAGAAATCAGAAATTTAGACAACAATTAAAAGCAAACAAACAATAACATGGCCACGCATATAGTTGTGTGAAATCTTGCTAGTCCCCTTTTTCTTCTCCCAAAATGTCTAGACGAAGCACAGCGGACTGACTGTTCGCAACCTCAGGCTAAATTTCCTGAAGTTCCTCCTTACTATCTTACTCTGCTGCTTTCACAGAAGGAACCAAGGCTAAGTTCTCAATTGTTTCTTTTTTTTTGTTTTCCTTTCAAATTACCTAAACAGTAGGTTTGTGGTCACCTGGTTTGAAATGCCCTCTATTTTCTCTGAAGGCCAAGTATCCTAGTATCCTATATTTAGGTATCACACCTGTGATAGTTAACCAAGACTCTCAGGCTAGGCGCGGTGGCTCATGCCTGTAATCTCAACACTTTGGGAGGCCGAGGCCAGTGGATTGCCTGGGCTCAGGAGTTCAAGACCAGCCTGGGAAACATGGCGAAACCTCATCTCTACTAAATATACAAAAATTAGCTCCGTGTGGTGGTGTGCGCCTGCAATTCCAGCTACTCGGGAGGCTGAGGTGGGAGGATCACTTGAACCTGGGAGGCAGAGGTTGCAGTGAGCTGAGATTGCACCACTGCACTCTAGCCTGGGCGATAGAGTGAGACCCTGTCTCCACACACACAAAAAAAGACTCTCAGGAAGTATTTGTTCAAAGACTGAATTCACTCATATATTCAACAAATATTTAGTGGGCGCCTAAATATATGTCAGATACTATTCTAGGCACAGAGGTGATCAGCACTAGGCATGCAAATAATTCTGCCCTAAAAGAGCTTACATTCTGGCAAAGGAGAGCATCAGAGCTGTCTTGACTGGTATACAACATTTCACATTCAAATGATTATTTTGTTCCAACACAGAATATTCTGCCTCAGGTGATATTTCAGTCATATAGATATAACTGAGGAGGATAAAGGGTATACATTTGTTTTTCTACTTACCACATAGGTATCATTCTAAAAAAGCAGTGCTAATATTGTAGCATCCTATCTGATAACTACAGTTACCTGTATCTGAATGTTTTTGTAAATTTTATAATGTCTTCAGGTCTATGTGACTTTTAAAATATCCAAAATTGATGTGGATTACTCATCAAAATTTGAAATGGTAATTTTTAGCCATGAAGTAGAAATGAAAAATGAAAATGATTGCTTCAAGATTCTGCAAGATGTTTTGCTGTAATTGTATACCAGGCTTAATAACGGTCGAGTCTGACATCCACGTTCCAACATTCTGTTGGAATTAATTGAGGTAAAATATTTGTGGATCTTTTCTTTCTTTTCTTCTCTGTGTATTTATAATTCAAATGAATGAAAGGAGCCTGATTACTAACTGGAGAGTTCACCAGGTTACTTTTTTCTTTTTTGTGGTTAAAGCTGCATAGCCACAATTTATTGTTACTTGTTACCTGTCTCCATCCTCAGTATTATCTGGTGATCAAGTTGCACTGAGAGATGCTATTTTTGTATAATGCCACAGGACATATGCATAGAAGTTTTTCACATCTTACGTTATGTAACTGAAAGGCATTAGAGCTAGTTCCAAATGAATCTTTTTGTTTAACCAGTTCCTAAAGAACTCATCTTTTATATGTACCAGCTGTATCATACAGTTGAACAATTACAATTCTTAGAGGTCACTGTGTGTCCCATTTACCATATAAATAGCAGTGTGATGGTCTGGAACCGTTCGATTTCTTATTTTCCTTATATGCCTTCTTTCTGGTGTTAAAGCATTAAGGAATTTTGACATAATGATAAGCTGCTATTTAAAGTCCTCACTTGTGAAGATTGGAATGCAATGCATTCAGAAGAAATTTACAAGCTATGCATTCATCAGAGGTTAGAGCCAACAACAATGAGCATTGTTTGAAGGCAGGAAACAATTTACATTTCAAATTTCTGTTACCTTGATTACTTTGACCATGGAGGTGATTATCAAAAAAATTTAATAAGATTTTTAAGATTCTTATACAGTCTTATAGGAAGCAAAATATCTTCGTGATAACTAAATACATGTAATTGCTAGCCAGATGTTTTGTTTTTGTAATGCCAAATAGCTGGATGTTAAGAAACATTGGTTAATTGTGTTTTTAAAGTTTTTTTCTTTTTTTAAATGTGAATGTATGCTTGCCATAATGTGGTCAGAGTTACACGGTCAACATCAGAACATGGCTGTTTTGTAGTTTTATATCATAATACTAATACACAATCTCAAAAGTATATCTGGAAAAGATTTCTTTGCTATGTAGAATTCTCCCTGATTTCTGAAGAAATTACATCCAGTTGTATAGGGATGTTTATAAGAATAATACAAGGACAAGTGATCATTATCCAATTAAATTGGTATTTTGCAGGAGAGGACCTAGCAAAGCCGGGGTTACACATCAAAATGGAACAGAAGAAAGCTTAATTTCAACTCAAGAAACTGGAGAATTGGCCAGGCGCAGTGGTTCATGCCTATAATCCCAGCACTTTGGAAGGCCAAGGTGGGCAGATCACCTGAGGTCAGGAGTTCAAGATCAGCCTGGCCAATATGGCAAAACTCTGTCTCTATGAAAAATACAAAAATTAGCCAGTAGTGGTGGCAGGTGCCTGTAATCCTGCTACTCAGGAAGCTGAGGCCAGAGAATTGCTTGAACCTGGGAGGCAGAGGTTGCAGTGAGCCGAGATCGCGCCACTGCACTCCAGCCTGCGTGACAAAAGTGAGACTCCATCTCAAAAAAAAAAAAAGAAAAGAAATAAGAAACTGGAGAATGAACTGAAGAATCAATTTATAGATCACTTCATCATCTAAAGTGAGCAAAACAATCTCTTGTGGCAGTTGGAATAATTGGTAATAATTGGCACATTGGCTGAAATTTCCACTAAGTGAAATTGCTGCAACAATTAATATTTTAATAATATAATGATTGTATTTAATATATTTCATAATATAATGATTTAATAATATAATATTGGGTATATATAGAGATCTATCTATGTATCTATCTATATAAAGTGAGACTCTACACACACACACATACACACACACACACATATATATTTGGAGACAGGGTCTTGCTCTGTCACCCAGGCTGGAGTACTGTGGTGCCATCACAGCTCACTGCAACCTCAGCCTCCCGGACTCAAGTGATCCTCCAGCCCAGCTTGCCCAGCTAATTAAAAACAATTTTTTTTGTAGAGACTGTCTCCTTATGTTGCTCAGGCTGGTCTTGAACTCCTGGCTCAAGCTGTTACTAGTGGAAGTTATCTGAGTTTCCAGTAGCGAATCCGTAGGGGTCTGCAGCAACCTCAGTTCTTGCCTCCTCAGAAGAAAGAATTCGACTGAGGGGCATAAAGCAGAAAAATAGACGGAGGCAAGTTTCAGAGCAGGAATGGAAGTTCATTAAAAAGCTTTAGAGCAGGAAGGAAGGAAAGGAAGGAAAGTACACTTGGAAAAGGCCCAAGTGGGCATCTTGGAGGTCAAGTGCGGCTTTTGACCTTTGACTTAGGGTGTTATATGTTGGCATACTTCCGGGCTCCTGTGTCCCTTTTTCCTTGATTCTTCCCTTAGGGTGACCTGCCAGCATGTGCAGTGGCCAATTGGCGCCTGGGAGGTGAGCATGCACAGTGTGTTTACTGGAGTCTGGCACATGCTTGCCTGGGACTTCGTCCCTTTTCAGGTGGAATGACCCGGGAAGGTCATACTCCGCCATTTTGGTTCTTAATGCTCATGCTTGAGCCCGCTCACCCAGTTCCTGAGATCTTAATTGAGAAGCTGTCAATCACCAATTTCAGGTGTTTTCTATCTATAAGGGACCTGCCTTTCTTTGATGCTGGCTGTAACCAATTATTATTTTAGAGAGGCAGTGGGACAACTGCCTGACCATCACCTGATGGTTGCCTGACTTTGCTGGTGAGGTGTGGTGGGGAGCCCTCTCCTACCCTGGTTATGCCTGACTAGTTACCTACTGTAACAAAGCCATCCTCCCGCTTCCGCCTCCCAAAGTGCTGGGATTATAGGTGTGAGCTGCTGCGCCCCATGTATTTCGTTATATTTAAACAAAACTCTGTGTTGATGAGAATAGGAGAACCTTTCCCCCATTTATTTTGTATCCTTCTTTAGTTCTCTGAAGAGCTCTGTATAACATTCTAGATACTCAGTTAAATGCTTGTTTATTCTAAAAATGTCCCAAAATTCAACAGCCAAGACTTTGGCATTGTAACTTATGAGTTGCCTATAGAGAAAAACAAAACATCTCCTTTCTGTATGCTAAATGCCTCCAGGTACTTTTTCCCAAGCGTGTTTTATCTGAATCAAAAAGTAACACAAATTAACAAAAGTCTCCAAAAGTTCTTATTTCAGTTACTCATTTATTCAACATACATTTAGTAAACAGATACTTTATGCAAAGCCTGTTGCTATGCACAGAAGGGGTATGAAAGAGAAAAGGGAAGGGGGGAATATTCCTTCTGGAGGAGGCACAATGGCCCATGCACTGTGCTAAGCATTTGATATCTGTGGGGCTATCCGAAGACATAGCTACTGCCTTCAACACGTTTGCAGTCTAGCAAGGAGGTATGACGGGTACTATTCCTATAGCGAGGTAAAATGGGAGCATGTGCCACAAGACAAGTACAAACTGGACTGCATGTTAGAGTGGACAGGAAGAGACCACTTTCAAGTTGGGAGGTCAAGAAATCCCAGCTGAGAATTGGCTAGAATTTCAAGGATTTCAATAGGAGAGCGTAGTATGTGGTGGCAGAAGTTGGGGAATCTAGAAGTCGGCATAGGTAGATGTGTGATGTAAAGAGTATGGGTAGGAAAGAAGTGGGAACTATTTGAGCAAAAAGAAATGCAGTTTAGACCAGGCGCAGTGGCTCACACCTGCCATCCCAGCACTCTGGGAGGCCAAGGTGGGTGGATCTCTTAAACCCAAGAGTTCGAGGCTAGCCTGGGCAACATGATGAAACCTTGTCTCTACCACAAATACAAAAATTAGCTGGGCATGGTGGAAGGATCACCTACCTGAGCCCCAGGAAGTCGAAGCTACAGTGAGGTGTAATGGCACCACTGCACTCCAGCCTGGGTGACAGAGCAAGGTCCTGTCTCAAACAAAACAAAACGAAACTAAACGACAGAAAGAAATGCAGTTTAGGTGGTGAATAGGGCACACTAGAGCCTCCTGAACATGTCAGACCAAAAGAATTACTTCTGTAAGTGTTCGTATCTGTGGGAATTAAAAAAAAAAAAAAAAAAGAGGTTTCTTTTTAGGTTTCGCCTAAATCTATTAACTCAGAATCTCAGGGGTACTTTTTTTTGGCAAACGCTTTTCTTTTTAAAGCAAGTACTCGAAGTGATTGCTAACATCAGGTAAGTTTGGGAAGTCCTTGGAATGTGAGGGCTGGAATGATAAAGGGAGGCCCTGCACTTGGATTGTATTCAGAAGGCAATCTGTTGCATGCAAGAATTCCCACCTATTTGGTCAATAAGCAAAATATTCCTAAATTGTCTTTGTCTGTATGCCTTTGACTCTTCAGTCACATTCTTTTAGACATTTGGGAACCTAGGTCGCTCAGGTAAATGTGACACAAGGCCAGCCCTCCCCATGTTGAAGAATTGTGACACTGTGGAGACAGAGCGTGGATCCACACAGTCCAAATGGAGCAGGCAGCTGCTGCTAAGAGCTTCTCTTTCACTGAATTGGGCCATGTTCTCTGTGGCATGTTTAAATAGCCCTTTAAAGGCAGTAAAAATGGGTTTCTATTGCTCAATCCCTCCTCTGTGGTTGCCCCACTGACAGGACTGAGACATGTATTGAGTGGATGGGAAATGTCATTCTGGCTTGGTCTCTTCTGTCTCTATTATTTTAGAAGTGAACGCTCACAAGCTGTTAGGGAATGGATGAACAAAATGAAAAATCACTGGTGCTAGATCCAAGTCTTTTAATTTTTATTAACAAATGCTCTCTTATCTGGACCATAGGGCATGATGGCCTTTGGAATGCCCAAGGAGAGGACCTTCCCTTTTCATTTTGTCTCCTTCTCTTTATTTGTCCCCTTTCTATTTTATCTTTCTGGACCCAAGTCCTCATTTCTAAACGCATCTCTTCTTGGCTCTACTTCCCAGACTGGCTCCCTCATGCCTTCCCCTGAGTCTCTGGTCTCCTTAGCTGTCTGTGTCCCCTCTTCCTGCAGCTTCCCACCCCTTCATCATCTGAACTCATCCTCAGCCTCTCCAGAGCAACATCATGATCTCTTCACTCTCTCTCAACCTCCTTGCTTTTCACCCTTGCCCATGAACTCCATCAACCCATTTCCAGCTTCCCCTTCCTTGACTTCTTGTCCTTTTCTTTTGGTGCTGCTACTCTATGCCCGGTTGTCCAGCTTCATTCTTCCCGTCTCCATGTTTCCTTCAACATCTCTGCCTCTTCCCATCCTGCTCCTGGCTGCCCTTGATCTGCTTAAAATTACAGTAATATCACTGAATTCTGCTTCGAGGTAGACTGGAAGAGTGGTTGGGACCAGAAATTAAGAAGAAAGGTGGTCAAGGGCATTCACTGGTTCTTGGGCTCCACTGCCCGTTTTCAAGTTCAGACTGTGTGGTCTTTGTAAGTGCCTCTTTGTGCTTCATCTTAATCTTTCAAATGGGCCTGCTAGCAGTATGCAAGTTATAAGGCTATTATGAGCATTGAATAAGCTCATATATGTCAAACACTTAGAACAGGGCCTGGCATGTAAATACCGTGAAAGTGTTCATTGTTATTTCTCTATTTGATCTGTGTCCTGTAACTGCTTCCTTTTTCATTCACACTGAATATGTCTGCACATTTCCCAGGTTATAACATTGGTATAATATTTGTAAAAATTTTTTAAAATATTATTTCTTAGCTGGGCACCGTGGCTCACACCTGTAATCCCAGCACTTTGGGAGGCCGACGTGGGTGGATCATGAGGCCAGGAGTTCGAGACCAGCCTGACCAACATAGTGAAACCCCGTCTCTACTAAAAATGCAAAAAAATTAGCTGGGTGTGGTGGCGGGTGCCTGTAATCCCAGCTACTCAGGAGGCTGAGTCAGGGGAATTGCTTGAACCAGGGAGGTGGAGGTTGCAGTGAGCTGAGATCATGCCACTGCACTCCAGCCTGGGCAACAGAGTGAGAGTCTGTCTCAAAAAAAAAAAAAAAAAAAAAAAGAAAGAAAAAAGAAAAAAAAATTATTCCTTAAGATGAAAAACTTTAGTATTTGCTTTCTACAGTGTATGTATAAGCTGGTGTACAACAGAGAAGATGCAAGCTCCCTTTCCACTGCATGTCTGCTCAGAAAATGACTAGTCCATCTTTGTGAGCAGAAAGTTCAAAGCCAAAGTTTGGTTGATTCAAGTAATTCCTCTTTGCTAATATACACTGAGAAATGGTGAGCCGTTCTTTTATCTTTTCCCTATTTGTCTTTAGCTATGTTCATCGACCTAAACTTGACAGTTTGTGTTATGCTCATGGACTAGAAAATGAAATTGCAGAAAATAAGGAAGAAGGAATTGAAAGAAGAGACTAGAAAGGGGGCATTTTACAAATTGTGAAAGATGAATATCAGCACCTTGTTTTAAAACGAGAAATGGATCTCCAGAGAGGAAGGACCGATCATCCTTTAAAGTAAAAGGTCTATAAACTGTCATGCATCAGATTTACCTGAAGGAGTCTATCCTCAGGCTTCTGACAAGTTCAGAGTTGCATTTTAAAGAAACTCCCAGGTGATGCTGTGATATAGTTTGGCTGTGTCCCCACCCAAATCTCATCTTGAATGGTAATCCCCATAATCCCCACGTGTCATGAGGGACCTGGCGGGAGGTAATTGAATCATGGGGCGGTTTTCCCTCACGCCGTTCTCGTGATAGAGTTCTCACGAGATCTGATGGTTTTATAAGCGTCTGGCATTTCTCCTGCCCGCATTCATTCTCTCTCTTGCTGCCCTGCCTTCTACTGTGATTGTAAGTTTCCTGAGGCCTCCCCAGCCATGCAGAACTGTGAGTCAATTAAACCTTTCTTCTTTATAAATTACTCAGTCTTGGGCATTTCTTCATAGCAGCTTGAGAATGGGCTAATACATGCTGCTATAGTCCAGGGACCATACTTTGAGAAATACTGCCATAGACTTTTCTTCCTGTCCCTTCATAACACTTTATTCTTTCCTTTTTGTTCATTAAAAATAGTAGTATCTCCCTTAGTAATAGGGAGATATTACTGCTCTAAAATAATTTCATTCTTCATTGGCGTTAATGCCATTTATTGTACTTTCTATTATCTTTATTTGTAAAGTTGTCCTCATTCACATACAATGAATTCTTCTCTTCCTCCTGAGCCCTCATCACCAGCTCCACCTGCCTGAGTCTGCTAGCACCAGCTCCACCTGCCTGAGTCAGCACACCTGAACCCCGGCTTCTTACTTGCAAATCCTGCCCAAATGACCAATACATACTGAAATAGAGACTTTCTACCAGGTTAGAGTATGGAAAAGAAGGGTCTTGAGGTTGAGCTAAAGCAAGAGAATTACCACCAAGAGTTTTCCAGGAGTGTGCTCAGCCAGAAGGGAGAGAGCAAAACAACAGGGTCAGAAGCTCAAATGCTGGGTGACAGACATGGTGATGTATGGAGCTGAATGTTAGCACGAGGACCATAATAGACACCTATTGCTTTTGCCTTCCTATCCCCCAATGTCTCTCTCTCTTTTTTTTTTTTTTTTGGTGGAGCATCTGACTTTACTTTTAAGGAACTTTTTTTCTTTTATATTTTGTAGGTCTAATTTGAGGCCCTACTTTCCCAGCCCCAGGTATGGGCTCTAGGCTTTTCAATGAGAGTAGCTCATGCTCTGGTTGGGGTGACTTGTGGCTGTCTGGACATGTGGCCCCAGGGGGCTATTCTGAGTCCTTTGAAGCTTGAGATGGAGGGAAAAGAAGGCCACTCTTCTTTGGAAAGTTCAGAAGCTAAAATTATGTCCATTAGGGCTGCTGGGGACTACACAGTCTTCCATTTGGAGAAACCATTCCTGAAGATGAAGTCAAGACTAAAGAAATCAGGATAAGGAGAGAGATGGAGAGGGAGAAGAAGAGGGAGTTCAGTTATTTGAATCCCTGAATCTAGCTACGCCGGAAGCCAAACTACTGTTGGAGTTCTCAGTTATGTGAGCCAATTAAGACTCTTTTTTGCTAAAACCACATAAATTGGGTTTCTGTCATTTGCAATAGAAAAAAAAAGTCCAGAAGGTCATTAAAAATGTTGCTTTGGTCTATGGGATATCCATATCCTGTCACCTTGGTTTTTCCTTTGAAACCTCCCTCATTTCCCTACTCTCAAGTGTATGGATAGTGACACTTGGCTTGGCCAATCTGTGATTTCCATCTTCTAGGCCACAGCAATTGGTTCAGGGATGAGCACAAGGTGTAATCCAGGTCTGGGAGACTCATTTCTGGATTTTTTTTTTAATGAAGTGTTGGAAACGTAAAGCTAATTTTTTTTCCTGAAATTGCAGTGCTAGAGGACATCAGCCTGGGTCTGTTGGGGTGATTATATAGGATGGGCTTGTGTGAAAGCCAAGCCCACAGAGAACATGTGGATGTAGGAAGATCAAGGCTGATGACATCAAGATTCAGAACAGCTGAGGTTAAGAGGTTCAAGAAGCTTAAAAACACATTAAAGAGAATTGTTAATCAGCTGCAGAGTGCACATGTTTAGAATCACAGTAAATCATGGTCAACTTAAGCAGATTTTCCTAATTGGCTTTGTGTTCCGAAAGATTTTAGTTGCAGTTTTAGCCAAAGTTTTTTCTGTCTTTTGCTCCATTATATATAAGGATAAAAATGATTCTTACTGAAAATTATGATAGAATCAGAATTTCAGTACTGAAAGGGACCTTAGAGTTTATCTAGCCTTGCGGTTTCCAAGTTATGGGCCATATCATTTTTACAAGTGGTCCCTAAATTCATATGTGTCACAAACATCATTCTGCAGATAAAAAAATGCTTATATCTGGGACACATATGTGGATTATCATTTTTCAAATGAATGCAGGTGGTGCTATGATTATGTTAGAATTCATTTAATGTTTGGACAGAAAGCCCAGTACCATTTATCAATCAGTAAAGCCATTTTTTTCAATCAGTAGAAACGTTTACTACCAACCTTTTAGTAGGGGGAAGAATCTGAAAACTGTTGATGTTAACATATTTCACCTAACTGAAAGGATTTTAAAACATATCCCTGGCCCAAAATGTTGATTTGTAATAAGTGAAGAATCTAAGAGGTTACATGACCTGTCTGAACATTTGTAGTGGTTCTGTGCTACTTTTGTCATGGTGCAAGGCTGTGGAAAGGTGGCTACCTAGGGGACATGGTACCTACGTGGTACATGGAGAAGAGGTGAAGAGTCTTGTGTCATTATATCTCTGCCACCTGTAATCCTCAACACCATCCCTGGCTCCTGGGTGTCTTCCTGCCCTGCCCATCCTTTTGTGCCCCTTCCCCTGGCTTGCTGCACTCTTGTCACATGACTTCCTTCCGGTGTTTTGGAAAGGCTCTGCTTTTCTCATCCCCGGTATTTGGCACACGTGATTGCCTGTCTAGAATGCTCTCAGCCCCATTCCTTTGCTTGAGTTAATGCCTCCTCTGTCCTCACCTCTCAGCTCAAGAGTCACTTCCTCAGAGGAGGGCCACCACGATTACACTCATCCCAGCTCCTGTCCAAGGCAAGTCCTTTTGTTGTGTGTCTTC
The DNA here is from genome assembly GCF_000001405.40 of Homo sapiens. Classification (NCBI taxonomy): domain Eukaryota; kingdom Metazoa; phylum Chordata; class Mammalia; order Primates; family Hominidae; genus Homo; species Homo sapiens. The sequence continues at coordinate 42,678,749 of NC_000012.12, forward strand.
TGCAGACAGCATTGCTTTCCTTGGGCATACTTCCCTTGGTGTAGAACTCTGCTTTTTTTTTTTTTTTTTTAATCCAAAATGTGTTTATTGAGTTTCCCACTCATCTTGATTCAGAGTGCTTTTAGTGCTGCTTCCTCCTGAAGGAACATCCTTCTGTAAGCCTTGCTTTTCCTCCTGTAGGCTGTCAGAGGACAGTGGAGCAGTCAACACACAAAACTACCATTTGTGCATGGCTAAAGACCGTGGTGATTTTATAGCATCCTGGGCATTTCACATCCATGAAGTAGGAATTGGGGCTCTGCACCAGGCATTTCTTCTTGTGTTTCCTCTTCTCCTCTTCTGGGGAGGGATGAAGGAGATCCTTTGCGAGAGGCATGTTCTTGTGTGGGTAGGTCGTCACCGCTGGAAAGTGGAACTCTGCTTTTGTGCTGGCATTTGACGAGGTCTGATTTCCCCACCTGAGAAAGTGGAGTCCTAACAGCCGAGACAGTGTTGATTTTTGTGCATAATTGTCTTCACCGGTGCTTGGCATGTAATAAAATGTGTTGCACAGATGAAGCAGAGGCTTCTAAGGTGCTTAAATTCCTGCTCTCTCTGCTCCTCTACCTCTGTTATGCCAAATTTCACATTCTCATGCTTCATTTTTACCTTTTCTGTCCCTGTAACTAGTCTTGGAACTCTTCAAGGGCAGAAACTGTATTGTATTTATCTTTATATCTATGTATCTATTTTTATCTAAAATGTGAAGAGAAGGCCCACCTGCAAGCTTGTGACATAACCAGAAAACTATGTCCTATATACAGCCCTCCTAAAAATAGCCCAGCATGTGCTCTGGTATAATCTGACTCAGATGCTTTATGTAGTAGAATTTCAGGAATATGCCTGTCTTTACACACTCATTAAAACCCCTGAATTGAGTTAGTCTTTTAAGTGTATTTCAGCAACTGCTATGATAAGATGAATGTATTATCCCGGATTTAACGAGAAGCAGAAGCTCCATGAACTGTGAGCATTCCGTTGCTTCACAAACACCCCTTCTCTACTTAAACTCAAGTAAGAGCTAAAGGGTTGAAGGATGTGTGGGCTGGGAAGACCACCCAAGAATAATGTCGTATTTACTGTAATGTATAAGCACAAACTTTTAGGGTTATACACCATGGGTTTGAACCTTAGCTTTGCTACTAACTACCTGTGTGGCCTTAGCAGGACTCTCTTTCTCTAAGCTTTATTTTCTTTGCAGCTCAGTAGAGAGAATAACAGTACCTGCTTTATAAGGCTGCAGGGAGCATCGTGGAAAGCAAGCATGTGAAGTACTCTGCACAGGCCTGACTTGAGGGCTCAGGGCCATAACTACTGCTTCCCCTCCCTCAGTAGGAGGCAGATGGGTGGGTGGGAGGCAGGTAGGTGGGTGGGTGGAGCTCGAGTAGCAGGAACATCCTGGATGAGACAGTGCTGCCTCTTCTTTCTCTGTAGCCAGAGTGGTAAATGGGAGAGGAGTAAAAAGGTCCCGGGGAATAGAGAACAAACTTATCCAAGCCATGATCAACCATTTGTTCTTTGGGGCAAGGAGTGGGGTTGGGGGTTGGGGTATGAGTGACTTGAAGATAAAGGTGGGACATCTAACTGACATTGGTTATAACGGTAAGTTTGTTTCAGTAAGAATAAAATATCAGGCTGGGCATGGTGGCTTATGCCTGTAATCTCAGCACTTTGGGAGGCTGAAGTGGGAGGATCGTTTGAGCCCAGGAGTTTGAGATCAGCCTGGACAACAAGACGAAAACCTAGCTCTGCAAAAAATACAAAAATTATCCAGCCGTGGTGGTGTGTGCCTGTAGTCCCAGCTACCTGGGAGGCTGATACTGAGGGTGTGAGGATCACCTGAGCCCAGGAAGTCGAGGCTACAGTGAGCTGAGACCATACCACTGCACTCCAGCTTGGGCGACAGAGGGAAACCCTTTTTTTAAAAAGAAGTAAAAAAGAATAAAATATCAAAAGACCTTGAGGAAGGAAGACAAAACAGATACACTTAAAATACAGCTCAATGGCAGATCCTGGAATAAAACATTGTCTTAGAGCTTCCTGGCAGCTGTGGACTCTGACGTATTTTCATCGTAGATTTTAAGTTTTTGTTTTTCTTTGCATAATGCCTAATTTACATGCTGATTTCTCCTGAAACCTGATGTTGAATTGTTGCTTTTTTTAAATGGAAAGGATTTAGATTAGATCATGGAGTGAAAGAATACTGTAGTTTATAAAGTGCAACACAAATGTAAAAATAATCGTTAAAGCATTCTAACTCCAATGAACTATCTTCTCCTTAGTTCCTTCTAATCCACTCTCCAGACTTGACCAGAGGGTTATTCCTAAAACACAATCTGGTAACATGTTTCCTTTGCTTATAGTCTCTGTCCTCCATACTTACCGCAGTAATTGTCATTTTCTTTATATTAAGTTTTTGTTAAATGGTCTAAAATCACACTGTATTAAAAGCAGCAATCTTTACTCTTTCCTTCCCCAGTCCTGTTCCTCAGAGCAGAGTTTATAAAACTACCTCAGTGTTCAAGTGCTCATAACACTCAAGTGCATTGGTAGGGTTTCTAGGACTTAAAAAATTATTTTAAAAATGTAACTATCATAACCACTTACAGTAAGTTGGGAAATTACCAAAAAAAACTGTGCCTTTGCTTATATTGCCCTAATGGTACCATAGTTTAACCATTATCATATTGTTGGCTGGACCCCAAATTATATAATTGCCTTAATTTGGGGCCACTTAAATTATTTCCAATTCTTATTGCTATAATCTATGGAAAACATCTTTTTTGAATTTATTTTGTTTATATTAAAATATAAACATATATTTCAAAATTGTTTCCTTAGGGTTGATAGTCCAAATGGCAAAATCTGGGCCAAATAATACAAATACTTTTATGGATCATGAAACTCATAAACTATCTTCAAAAATGATTTGCCACTGTCCGGTGCATCCAGAAATACATTCAAGTACTCTTTTCACCTCATCCTTGCTATTCCTTTTTTGATTTTGACTAATGTCTCATTGTTTTGAAATCTAGACCTTTACAAAATTCTCTAAGTATTATTCTTGGTGGGAAACATTAAGACATAAAATATAAAACTCTACTTGTAAACTTGAATTTCTTTTCTTTTTTGAGGTGGGGACTCACTCTGTCACCCAGGCTGGAGTGCAGTGGCACCATCTTGGCTCACTGCAACCTCCACCTCCTAGGCTCAAGCGATCTTCCTATTTCAGCCTCCCAAATAGCTGGGACCACAAGCATGTACCACCATGCCCAGGTAATTTTTTTTTGTTTTGTGTTTTTTGTAGAGACAGAGTTGCACTATTTTGCCCGGGCTGAAACTACGATTTCTTTTAAGGTTTAAAATACTGAAACTTTATTGTTTTCAAACTCTTAATTATGAAATTACCAGATATGATGCGTTCTAGCATTATTTTCTCGTACATTTAGAATTTCTACCTTGTTTTATTTCCTGCAGCTTGTTGCTGTAGGAAAAGGTATGGTGAATCACATGCCATTTTGTGTTGGCCAAGAAAATAACTCCATCTCTAGTTGTCTGGCACATCTTGACAAAATATATGGTGCAGTTTAGAAGTGTTTCAAAGGCTTCTTACTCCAAAATTTGGGGAAAAAACTATCCATTGCTTGCATATGTGAGCATAAAATGATTCACTTGGTATTAATGCCTTTAGGTTCTTTGATTGACTAGGGTATATGAGAGAACTAAGATAAAGGAACACTCATTAAAGGCAGATAAAGACTTGATACTTTTTCTTTATTCACTGGGTAAGATTTATAGTATGGTAATCAGAAATTCCAAACTGGCTCTCAGGCATTGTATCTACATGATGCCAACTTTTGTAAGTGAACTGAAAATTTTGTTCTCAAACCATTGCTTCATGCTATTTTTCACCAGGGCAAATAAGCAGATTGATCTCAGGAACCAGAGGTTGCATGGATGGCTGGTCCAATTGATCCGCCTGTCCTAATGGATCATTGTGTAACAGGGAGGAAAAACAGGAAACTTGATTTAGGCACCATTTTGATCAGAGACTGAAGTCAAATGATGTGAGTACTCAGGTCATTATGATTCCTTTAGTTAACTCCATCCTGTAGAGTAGGGAGCTCTGCTGATGTCACCTCAGTCATGCTTATGACAATAGAATTATTTTTCAGGGGGTCAGTATTTGGTAGTTTTGAGAGAAGGTTCAGTTTTACTAGAGGAATGTTATAAATGCAATAGTTTTATTATAATTTCCATGTAACTTTTGAAGAGGAAGAACATACATGGTTTTCTCAAGAGTGAAAAACAATTGTCAGCAAACAATTTGTTGTGAAAAAATGCCCTTTAACTTTTATAGATGTTTGTGTCTGTCCAATCCTGGCTTCTTCTCAGTTTCTCAGAACCCTCATCCATCCCACCCACCCCATCCCAGAATTTGTATGACCCCTGGCAAAACACAAAAGTCCTCTCCCCACTAATGAGAGGTTTGGGAAACATATTCTCTTGTGTGTTATTCCCCAAATAGTTGTTTCATACCATTCTTCAGAGGCAAATAAATGATCTGTGCTAAGGAATCAGTTTCATGGGTGTTTAGAAAAATGGATCCATCTGCCTTAATGGATAATTGTGTGACAGAGTTAAACAACAACAATAACAAACACACTTAGCCTTCAAGCTTTGGGGCTGCAGTGCCTGGAGATCAGCCAGATCTTTCCTGTTCAGTGACAATAAACATGTGGTAGTGTCCTGAACCAATGCTCATCTTGGGAGGAATTCAAGATTTGGGGGTAGGGTGTGGAGGTACAGAGAGGGAACCTACTGTTTGGTGCCTTTCTGCTAAAATCGTAGTCCTAGCCTTTCAGCTATTTTCTTCCTTAGCCCCTCTTTAACATTTCCTCAAGCCCCCACTCCCTGCACATGCAGAATGAGTGTGCTTCCTCCAACCACCAATCTCTCTATCCCCTGAATCCCCTACGCAGAGGAAGAGCCCAGCCCTGTGCCCTGCCTTGTTGCCTTATCCATAATAGTCAAGTCTCTTGGAGCTGGGCATCTTTTCACACTACCTTAGCTTTGTATTCATCTAACTTTTGCACTTAGAGATTTATTATGCCCTGGGACTATTTCCTCAGCTCAGAAGCCTGGAGGTGGGTCGCAGAGCTTTGCTGTTCTTCCTCATGAGGGCTGCACCTCTGCCAAAATATTTTTCTTCCTGCTGCTGCTTTTTCACAAGGTTGTTCTCTTGTCCCTTTCCCCATGCTGGGCAATCCGTCCTGTGCTGTGGTTGGGTCAGCCTGCTTTTTGGAAGGTATTTTTTACATTTGCTTCAGTTGTTTGGATTCTAAGGCAGGGTACACCCTCTCTGTGGTCTACGTGTGAAAATGCACATTTACAAAACAAAGCCAATATAAATGGATTATGCTGTTGACTTAATAAGAACAAAATTTTCTAGCAACAGGGAATAGAAATGTAAATTTAGTTTTTGGTGATTCATTACTTAATAGGAAATATTCCAATTCAACATTTGTAAATAAAGTAAAAGTACAATTTACTTATTCATCTGTTTAGTCAGCATATATTATTTGAGCATCTATTATGAGTCAGCTTTCACACTAAGTAATGAAGACACAAAGAAGAATGAAACAATTCCCAACCACATTGGGAAATCTGACAGTCTAAGGGAAGAGACACATACAAAAAGAGGTCATTTGAAAACAATGTGATATTCTAGTAACAGGATATACACAGAGGATTAAGGGAATATGAATAAATGAATAATTGAATGAGTGAATGAAGTTTTCTATTTCCTTTAATGTAATAGAAAACAAGTAGTTCAATGGCTACTTACTGGATATAGAGGGTTGAAAATAAATCTGCACTTAAAAAAACACTCCTCCTATAAAGGCGTGGGTTTGCATTCTTTCTCCTGAAACTGGGCAGGTGTTTTCACTATATTTCCCAACAGTGTGTGATGAAAGTGATGCTGTGTGAATTCCAAAGTGAAGACAAAATGTGATGCTAATACTGCCTTGCTGGAGCTCCAAGCACCATGCTGTGAGAAAGCCCAAGGTAGCCTATGTAATGACACTACATGGAGAAGCCCTGAGCATACATGAATAAAAGAGCTGCCCAGCATCTCCCATCTGCTCCAACCCACCTACTGTTCCAGCCACTATCTGACAGCAAACACACGAGAGACCCTAAGCCAGAGCCTTTTTTAAAAATTTTATTTGTTTTATTTTATTTTTTGAGATGGAGTCTTGTTCTATTGCCCAGGTTGGAGTGCAGTGGTGCCATCTTGGCTTACTGCAACCTCTACTCCTGGGTTCAACTGATTCTCCTGCCTCAGCCTCCTGAGTAGCTGGGACTATAGGCACGCATCACCATGCCTGGCTGATTTTTTTTTTTTTTAATTTTTAGTAGACACAGTTTCACTGTTTTGTCCAGGCTGTTCTTGAACTCCTGACCTTAAGTAATCTGCCTGCCTTGGCCTCCCAAAGTGCTGGGATTAGTGAGCCACTGAACCCCACCCTCGTAGAATCTTTCTCAGACTCCTGACCCACAGAAACAACAAGAGAATAAAATGTTTGTTCTTGTTTCAAGACCTTAAGTATTGGATAGATTTGATATATATCAGAAAAGTGGAACAGACTGTTACTTTGTAGTGGGGTGCTGCTAGAACAAAAGATGAAAACAATTTGGGGTCGGGCATCAGGGAGATATGCTGGAAGAGCCTTGAAGATATTGTCAGCAGAAGCCTGGTGGGCCCTGAAGAATCTGTTGTAAAGGTTTAAAGGAATGTGAGGAAAACTTTATTGAAAACCAGAAGAAAGGAGGCCTTTGTTAGGTGGTGGTAGAAAGTTTAGCCAAATTGTCACCTGTAGTAGTATGGAAAAGAGAAAACGTACCCAATGAACTAATGGATCTGTCTGAGAAAATTTGCAAGCAGAATGTTGAAAAGGCCAACTGGTTTCTTTTAGACATCATGCTAAGACACAAATAGACAGATAAGCCAAAAATGCAACTGTTCAGTTTTTAATAAAAACATAGAGGAAACAGTAAGATGTCAAGACTGTTTTTGAAAATAAATGTTTCTTATTTTACCAGAAAACAAAAACTCTCAAGTACTATTTTCAGGGCAGAGATCAAATCCGGGGTGGTCTTGTACAATCCTTTAAGACCTCAAAGATGTTAGGTGGGGCCTCATATCCTTTCAAACAGACAAAAATGTTCTAAGAATCTGAAGGGTGTGCATCGCAGACCCTTTGTGTTAACAGGATTTTTAAAATTTTTTGTTTTTGTTTTTCTTAAGACTGTTTTGTTTAGGGTTTTTTTGATACAGGTTTTTGCTGTCTCTCCCAGGCTAGAGTGCAGTGGCTCGCTGTTGGCTCAAGGGATGTAACCTCCACATCCCATGCTCAAGGGATCCTCCCACCTCAGCCTCCCAAGTAGCTGGGACCACATGTGTAAGCCACAAAGCCTAGCTAATTTTTGTATTTTGGTAGAGATAGGGTTTCAATATGTTGCCCAGGTGAGTGTCAAACTCCTGGGCTACAGCCGTCCTCCCACCTTGGCCTCCCTAAGTGCTGGGATTTATAGGCATAAGCCACTGTGCCAGGACTTTTAAGACACTTAAGGGAATTTTTCGAAGGCAACCTCACAGGGAGTGAAGGCTTACTTTAAAGAGTTTTGTCTAACTTTCATTTAATGGAGTAGATTACAAATTAATATACAAAAATTTCACAAAAAATTTTAAAGGAATTGTGTCAGCTTGAACTGAAAAGGACAGACGGAGCAAAATGAAAAGAAGCCTTTGTTTTCCAGAATGAATGTGGGCAGGAAGGATCCTGAAATATCTACTTAGCTGCATTTCCAATGCTAGGTCATACATGGCAATACAACTTCTGCCTTGTTTGCTGGAACACTTGCAATGGAGCACTGTTTTGGCAGGTAAGCCGTCTGACTGCCCTGGGGCACCATGCTGTGAAGAAGTCCAGTTGGTCTACCTAGAGAGATCATATAAAGAAGCACTGCGACAGCATGCTGAGAGAGGGGGAGAGAGAGAGAGGAGAGAGGAGGGAGAAATATATCAATCCCTGGCTTACCCCTAGCTTCTCCAGACCTCCATTTTTTTTTTTTTCCTGCTCTGGCCACCATCTGACTGGGTGAGAAGTCTCAAGCCAGACCTACCCAACAGAGCCCTTCTCAAATTCCTGACTCACAAGAACTGTGAATCATAGTGAAGTAATAATTGTTTTAAGCCATTAAATTTTGGGGTGGTTTGTTATATAGTCCTAAAAAACCAGAACACTGGCCATGTAAATTTGAACAGTATATAACTTTTTATGCTTCCAAATGGGAAAATAAATATTCATTTATTTACTCTTTGATTTATGTCAGATACCTTGCAAGCAACTTAATGAATGAATGGATGAATGAACATCTCCATTTTGAGGTGAGAACATTCAAAGGTGGGCCATACAGGATTTATGTAACTCATCTAAGAATTCAAGGCAAGTAAATGTCACTAGTGGACTTGAATCATCCCAAAGCCATTAAAGTTCCATTCATTCAAACATTATTTTATTGTGTGTTAACTATGTGCCAGGCACTGTGCTAGGCAATGGGGGAATGGTGTTAAACAAGACATTCATTGTTTCTGCCCTAACAGTGCTAATATTCTTGTGGAAACTGACAATAAACAAGAAGTAATTATACATTTTGACCAACATGGAGAAGAACTATAAGAGTGCCATGATGAATTATAGGAGAGGATACTCCTTTAAAGAAGGTATTTAGGAACATTCTCTCCAAGGAGGAGACATCTGAGCTAGAACTTGAAGGTTGAGAATTAGTCAGCTATGAGAAGAGGAGACACAGCATTTTTTGTGAGAGGATTAGATGACGCGTGTGTGTTTTTTGCACAGTAGTAAAGCATGTCACTTTACAGAGCCTCAGATGAGTGGGACTGGCAGTGAAAAAGCTTTGGGTACCCTGAGAGTAGAGTGAGGGCCTTCTTGAATTTTGCCACTTTAGCCCCTTTCTTGTCTCATCCTAGTCCTGACCCTGAACATAGACTTAGAAATTTTAGATTTGTTGCATTATTGCCTATCACATTTAAGACCCATCTAATAAAAGAATCACCATAGACACAGGCGTACACAGATACGCATACACAGGAAAAAGCCAAAGGATTGATCAAAGTTAAGTGTTTAAAAATATTCATGTAACTGATGGGAATTTTATGATAAGCAGCAAGGGAATTGGCACTTACATTTCAGCACAGGGCTTGCTGAGATACAAGTCTGGGGTTACTCAATGCGGTAAGCAGGCTCATTGAGCTCATAATGTTTTAGTACCTGTTGGGGGATGAACTAATCAGCTCCAAATGGGCAACAGGCAGTGAAATTGTGTTTGTGTGAGTGTGTGTGTGTGTGTGTGTGTTTGTGAGAGAGAGAGAGAAGTGGGGGTCAGGGGGTGGGGTGTGGGGAGGCAATGTTCAGCCAATGAATGCTGTTCCAGCAGGGTTCATTTGGGAAAGTTTAATATTCACAAAGTCTTCTTCTATAACATAAATATTTGTTTTGGTCAAATTCTTAGAAACTCTTTCTGAGATTCAAAGAATATGTACTATTGCACTTGGATTCAGAATGTATCATGGCCAAATTGAACCAAGAATTCCCCTTCATTAGTAAAATCATGTTGCCCTTGCAGGTTCTAAATCATTCCTGGGACAATGCAGACGTGCCTGGGGAGATGGGGCCGAGCAGCAGACCTGAAACCAATTCTGGGCTTTGGAAAAAGGAGATACTGTGTCTGCTCACTTCATGTGTTATCTTCCAAGGATTCTTTTGGTATAAGCAGTTTTGCTTATCCTACCGTTGTTCATTTTGCTCTCACTTTCTTTGAGGGATTATTTTTCCAGAGGAAAATGTGGTTCAAGGTCATTTCTAATTCCCTACATTTATTACTGTTGGGTTATTGATGTCTTTCTACTCTGATTATTCATGCCCGTCTTAAAGTTTTCTCTTTAAGAACTTTATAACTTTTCTTCTTTTCCCACACTTCTTATTACTGGCATCACTGCAGCCTAATTGGGCCCTGGGCTCAGGAGAGGAAAAAAGCATGGAATTTACTCATCTGAAAAGTCAGTTTAACACAAGTTTATTTTCATTTATTATTTTTGTGTAGAGACAGGATCTTGCCATGTTGCCTGGGCTGGTCTCAAATTCCTGGCCTCAAGCCATCCTCCCTCCTTGGGCCTCCCAAAATGCTGGGAGCCACCATGCCTGGCTTAACACAAGTTTATTGAGTAACTACTTGAGTTGGGCATTGTCTCCTGGGTGCTAGGGATCTAGAGTTTAGTGAGTCCCTGGAAGAACTCACAATCTAGTATAATTACCTATTTGCATAACCATGTACAGTAAATAGGTAATTACGACACTAGTTTACAAACATCAAAGAAAGTAGACAGTATGTGCTGGAAGTGGGCTGCTCAGAACTGGAATGATGTAGAGCATTCTTCTATAGGACACTTCAGAGTTTTAGTCCAGATGAGATTTATTAGCTCATTAGCTTGTTAGGTTTTTAATCATTCATTCATCAAACATCTATCAAGCCCCTATCATGTGCTAGAAATATGCTAGGTGTAGGTAGCAGTAATACAAAACGAAAAAGAAGGATCCCTTCCCTTAGGTCACGATAGACATGAAAACACATGGCTGCAATGTTTTCAAATGCTATAATAGAAGTCTCTGCATGGAATGGTTGGATTACAAGGGGAGAACAAGCTCCTTCATGGGGAGGCTTCAGGAAAAATGTCAGAAGTAATGTTAGAAGAGAATTCTAAGACAAGTGAATGTTTACTGGGCTTTTATTAAAAAGAGTACATGGGAGAAAGAATATTCCAGACTGAGGATGCACAGAGGCCAGGAGGCTTGAAACTATCTAGCACATTTTGGGGGAACTGCAAGACATCCAGCCTGGTTGGAGCTTCACATGCTTAGGGTGGGGCCCAGGGGGAGAGAAACTGTAGAGGCAGTAGGCACAGTGTTCCTGGAGGACCACACGCTGGCAGAAGGCTGAGACACAATGCAGGGTATTCAGGGAACCACAGTGATGTGGCCTGTCTGAGGCACAGGAAAGAGAAGGAACTAGAGAGGCAGGGAAAGACCAAAACAGGAAGGGCTTTGAATGGTAGTCTAAAGCAAATTGAGTTTTTTGTCAGTGATGGGAAGCCACAGAGGGATATTAAGACATATCTGTTTTTAATTTTTTATTTCTAAATTAAGACAGTAAAATTTGCTTTCATTGGTGTACAGTCCTACCAGTTTTGACAAATGCATAAGTCATATTGCAACCCCTTTAGACAAATATAGAGTAGTTCCACCATCCCAAAAGAGTCCCCCAGGCTCTCCCTTTGAAGTCAGCTCTCCTCTGTCCCGGGCAACCAGTGATCTGTTTTCTGTTCCTGTGGCATTGCCTTTTCTAAAATGTCATAGGAACACAATAACACATATAGCTTTTTGATTCTGACTTCTTTCACTTAGCATAATATATTTAAGATTTATCCATTTAGTATGTATACCAGTAGTCTGTTCTATTACCGAGTGGTAGTCCATGGCATGGATATACCACAGGCTTTTAATCCATTCAACAATCAAAGGACATTTGGTTTACTTTCACTTTTTGGTAATTTCACTTTTTGGTAATAGAAAGCTGCTATGAACATTCAGGTACAGGCTTTTTACGAATATAACTTTTTCATTCCCCTTGGGTAAATGTCTAGGAGTACAATTACTGGGTCACTGGAGAGTATATGTTTAACTTTGTAAGAATCTGCCAAACTGTTTTCCAAAGGTACTTGTACCCTTTTCCAATCCTATTAGCAACATATGAGAGTTCCAGTTACTCTGTATCCTTGTCAGCACTTGATATTGTCAGTTAAAAAAAATGGAGCCATTTTCATAGATATGAAATGATAATCTCACTGTGGTTTTACTTTTTTTTTTTTTTTGGCCAAATGACTAGTGATATTGAAAACGTTTCGTGTGTGTGTGTGTGTGTGTGTGTGTGTGTGTGTGTGTGTGTTTTGCCATCCATATATCTTTGTTGGTGAAGTGTGTGTTGAAATCTATTGCCCAGTTTTATTTTTCCTTATTGTTGAGTTTTGAGAGTTCTTTATATATTCAGCATACAAGTCCCTTATATGTATTTTACAAATATTTCCTTCCAGTCTGTGGTTTATCTTTTTATTCTCTCAACAGTGTCTTGTAGAAGCTTTTCATGTTGATAAGTCCAGTTTATACTTTTTTCTTTTGTGGTCCAGCTTTTGGTATATTTTCTTTTTTGTTTGTTTTTTGAGATGGAGTCTCACTCTGTCACCCAGGCTCACTACAACCTCTGGGTATATTTTCTAAAATCTTCACCTAAGCAAGGCTGTAAATATTTTCTTCTAAATTTTCTTTTGGAAATCTGTGTATAGTTTAGGTTTTTCATTTAGGTCTGTGATCCATTTTGAGTTAATTTATGGATAAGGTGAAAGGTATGGGTCGAAGTTCACTTCTTTTCACTTAAGGTTGTGTCTCAGAAAGCCAGCAACAATGTTGAGAAGGGATTGGAGAGACAAGAAAGTTGAATGTTTCTTAATTTATCTCTTGTTCTAGGACTTTGCGCATCAGTAGATAAATGGAAAAATCATTCCCAACACAGGGATTGCTGGCATTTATGAATCAATTACATTGATTTGGCCAATATGAATGGTAAAATATTTAAAAAATACATAATAATTAGCCTGTTGGACGTATGACTTAGTGATTTGGCTGTATAGATATAGCTTGAACCCTTCTTTTGATCCAAATTTACTCCCTTATTTATCACTTGAGAGTTATAAGGAATTTAAAAGGAAGAATGTTTTATCTTTTATGTTCTATGATTGTACATCTGAGTAAGACAATTGCTATTATGCTTTGCTAATACTCCTGGTGGTGTCATGATATAAGGGAAGATGAATTTACTTTGACTAATGTATAAGAAAAAAAATCTGTTTTAAGAAAATCGAGGTGTTGGCTTATGAAAGATGAAATTCCAGAGACTCCTCATTTATGTTTTAGACAACAAAAATAATACATAAGCAAATGGAAGAGAGGCAGGAGAATAGGGTCTGGAGTCAGGGAACCTAAGGCCATTTCACACTGACTTCCTAGAACTAAATTGAATGGAAAACCCTAACTTTGCACATCTAAGTAACAAAAGGACCAGGGGCTACTCCCTTTGCAAACCCCCACGTTTTCTGCATGGCAGATGGGAAATTGAAAGTACTTCTGATTGGTTGCTTTTTGCATAGGAGTGTAACTTTGTAACGTCAGCCTCTGATTGGTTGCAGATAGCAACCAATCAGACTGATCGCCAGCAAAGTCTTTGTTTGCATAGACGTTCAACTTTGTAACTTCACCTTAGTCTCTGAGGGCCACAGCTTCATTTACATGAGGTGAACACAAAGTGGCCAATGGGAAATCTCTAGGGGGTATTTGGACCTGAGAAGATTCTATATCCAGGCCCTTGAGCTGCTGCCGCTGCCGGCTCCCACACTGTGGAGTGTACTTTCACTTTCAATAAGTCTCTGCTTTTGTTGTATCATTCTTTCCTTGCTTTGCTGTGTGTTTTGTCCAATTCTTTGTTCAAAATGCCAAGAACCTGGCCAACTTGGAGTCAAGACCCTCTACCGGTAACAGAACTACTTCTTCCGCCCATTCTACAACTTCATTTTTAATGAATAATCTATGCTATTCTTGAATTTCTTTAAATTAAATTAATTCATTTAAACTATCAAGTGGAAAGTAGAGAGTAGGGGTTTAGGCTGTGGAATCCAAATACTCAGGTTCAAATCCTAGTGTCTCTAACTGCATGACGGGAAAGCTCCTTAAATGCTGTGATCTCATTTCCTCCTCTATAAAGTGTGAAAGATGATATTTATACATATGGCTCTTGTGAAAATTAATTGAAATAGTGCTTTAAATGCTTAACTAAGACTGATAAGTAGTATGTGATCAATAAATATCAGCTATTTTTAGTAAAATTGAGAGCTTCCTTTAAGCTATTCTATGCATTGTGAAAGGATATAACCATGGAACAATACAGGGCTTCCTTCCTCAGGGAGTTTGCAATTTGCAACTCATTTAGGGATGCAGATGTGTAAAGAATGACCACTTAAAATTCAACCAGAGGCTGCTCTGCCTATGGAGTGGCCATTCTTTATTACTTTCCTAATAAGCCTGATTTCACTTAAAAACCAGAATGAAATAAGTGTTGTATTATATTTGTTAGGTGAGGTTAGAGTGATTATCAACCCCTGGGTGGATTAGAGGATGTTTCAGCCAAGGACAGTGTTTGATTTGGACCTTGGAGGAGGAGTAGCGGTCTCATAAATGGAGAAGCAGAAGAGAATGACTCACACATTGGTCCAGAAAGGATTTGGAGAAGAATTCTCTTGAGCTGAAGAAGGAAGGATAGGGGGTGGTGGGAAAGAAGTGATAGAAAAAGCAAGTAAAGAACAGATTTTAAAGGGACCAGAATGCCAAGAGGAGAGGTTGGGCTTGGGCTTTTCTTATTCACCATATTTTATACCTTTTTCATATTAGTTCTTGGAAAAAGCCAGCCTGGAAGACTACTCATGAAAGGTTTTCTCTTCCTTTTAAAAAAAATATAAAACAAAAAACAAAAACCACCCTTGTAAATCATTAATGGCCCATTTTAAAAAGGAGATTACAGCCTGGGAGTTACTATTTTTCTGTTAGAGAAATAAAAAGGAATATGTTGAATTATATGAAATATGAATTGGCCTCTGTGCTCCAGTACCTATCTGGGACAGATTTATAAATACTGAAATGATATAAATGATGGTTATTCAACCCATTTAACATTAGAGAACTTTTAATGGCAAAGCAAGGACACTGAAAGAAAAGTTTTAGGGAAAAATAGTGGTAGTCTGGAAATCTAAAAGTTATTCTTTATTCTTCCATATTGATTTACATCTATTTAGAACTTGAAGATTTTTAGTGTTATGCCTACTCTGCCAATTCTTGGAACATTTGCGGAACTGAGAATTTACTTCTTCGTTTATTACTTCCTAACTACATTTTAAAGGTAATAGTGAAATCTTAAATTATTCGTTCTCTTTTCATTGGGCAATGTCATTGAGGTAGAACTAATATTCAGAGAATTAATTTCCAAGATTTTTAATTCTGAAAATGATACAGATTATTTTTCTCAAGTTTAATCTGATGTCTCCTACAATAATACTGGGGAGTCGTGCTGGGAACAGAAGATAAGAAATCATTCATATTCTAGATTAGACAAGCTATACTTTAATTAACAGGCTGCAGTTGGAAAAATGACTCCAAGAATTAAATGTGAAAACCAGCTATTTCAGTGTTCCAAGAATATTTAATCCTCTTAGAAGAGTTTATCTATGTCACAATTGGGAATGATTTAAATTGTCTGTGGCATCTTTACGTTATTATTGAAAATGGAAAAAAAGAAAAATGCCCACCCTCACAGGCTTTTTGCGGCAAAGTTTGGGGGGCACCCACAATTTTAACTTCAGCATTGACAGAGTCCCTCCCCATCTTAGTTGGCGTTGGCTTTCAGGGTTTCTACCAAGGCATCTCTTCAGGCTCACTCTCTAAAAAGATGTTCTTGTTTCATCAGAGCTAACCTAGTTAGTGTCCCATTTCCACAGGACTCTGATAAATGCTAGAATTTCTGCTAAAATAATTTCAGAGTCTAGTGTTTATCCATTTGTTAATTCATTTGGTATTTATTGGTTGTTATTAGATAAACCTATTTTCACTTGAAAGGAAGTGTGAAAATAATATAGGCTTTAGAGTCTGAAGTTCTGAGTTCAAATTGTGAGTCTATCCTTAACTTCCCAAAGGTGTCTGCTGAACTCATATAACTTCTCTGAATTTCCGGCCTTTCATTTATAGAGTAGTGGGAGAATAACAACCACACAGGGAGATTGTGAATACCCTGAAGGGGATTTGCCAGGTGTAAAGTGCTATTTGAAATTTTTTAAACTAAACTAATAAATCCTGCTGAGGGAATGCTTTATCATCACAGGTTGCTCCTTTTATGGTGGTGTCAGTTTCAGGCATAGGCAGGTGGATATAGAATACTACTTGGGATGTGTGGCAGGTTATATGTTCTGAAGAAGACTGCAGTGTTCTCTTCTCCCACACACTCTTCTTGCAATGTGATCTTGACAGTACCCACATTGGGAGGTCTGTTTCCTCCCTTTGGACCTAGGTGACGTTTTCTCCTGTCTTTGCTTTCTTGGGATACTCATGCTTAGAACCCAGCCTCAGTGCTGTGAGGAAGCCCTGTTCCACTTATGTGGAGGAGAGGCCACGTGTAGGTTGGCTGGCAGCCTACCTGAAGTCTTAGCTGACAGCCAGCATCACCCAACAGTGGATGGAGATGCTTTCACACTTTGAGTGTCCCCAGCTCAGGCCCCGGATAACATGGAGCAGGGATATGACATCTATGATGTATCCCCTTCAAATTCCTAACCTACCAGTGAGGCAGAAGAATAGGGTCTAGAGGCAGGAAACTTAAGGCCATTTCACGCTGACTTCCTAGAACTGAATTGAAAGGAAAACCCTAACTTTCCAGGCTTAAGTAACAAAAGTAGTTGCAGAGGCTACTCCCTTTGCAAACCCCCACCTTTTCTGCAGCAGATGGGAGATTGAAAGTACCTCTGATTGGTTTGCTTTTTGCAACCAATCAGACATTTGCATAGGAGTGTCACTTTGTAACTTCACTTTAGCCTCTGACTGGTTGCTTCCCACAACCAATCAGACGTTTGCATGGGAGTGTGACCTTTATAACTTCACTTCAGCCCCTGATTGGTTGCTTTCCGCAACCAATCAGACTGATTGTGGGCCACCACCTCATTTACATGAGGTGAACGCCTAGTGGCCAATGGGAAACCTCTAGGAGGTATTTGGCCCTGAGAAGATTCTGTATCAGGGGCCCTTGAGCTGCTGCTGGGGCCTGCTCCCACACTTTCACTTTCTATTTCTTTCACTTTTCTATCTCTGCTTTGGTTGCTTCATTCTTCCTTGCTTTGCTGTGTTTTGTCCAATTCTTTGTTCCGAACGCTAAGAACCTGGACAACTTGCTGTAAAGACCCTCTACTGATAAAACCAGAATCCACGAGAATAATAAAATAATTGTTTCATGCCATCAAGTTTGGGAGTGGTTTGTTACACAGCAATAGCTAACCAGAACAAGTTGGGAGGATTTATCTACACCAAACCTGTTTTTAACATTTTAGTAAGGTTGTAAAGAAAATTTGAATAGTATTATTTCTATTGTTTCAATAGCTTTAAATCATGATGGCAAGCTGTAGTTATTTGTTTACTGAAACTTCAGAGCAAAATAGACTAAGAATTATTGGAAATTTATACTTTTTTCATGTAGGATCAAATATCATGAAGGGAATTGTCATTTTCATTCCCACATCATCTCCTTAGATTTTGAGTAGAGGGGCTGGCTGTATTCCTGTTGGCTTCTACTTCTACAAGGAATGAGAATTGAGCCTCTCCATTCTTAATGTCTTCAGAGTGGGATCCCACACATGAACTGTTCTAGCAACTCCTCTCTCTGGCATTCAGTCTTTCAGAACCAGAGGCAGGCAGAAAGCAGATGCTCTGTGGATAATTTGGGAAGAGACAGTGGAAGAATTTTATCACTTTGCAGCTCTAAAAGATACTTCAGACTATTGGCTTTTTCTGAACCCAGATGTTTCAGCTCTGTGGTTTATCTCCTTGTCTGTTCAAGAAGATTGTAAGATCTCTCATGAGCTTTCTCTCTTGAAACCTCGGGGCCTTTGCTTGAATGATTTACTTTACCCAGAATGGCTCCTTTCAATCCCTAGCCTTCTAAGTCCAGTAGAAATTCCACCTCTTTCATGAAAGTTTTGTGAGTTAGCGGCAACACTTCAGACTTCTTAGCACTTTGTTGGCACTTCTTTTAGAATTCTTAACGCCGCCAATGCCTGTTTCCCTGATGAGATCGCGATGCCATTCTTGGCGGGGTTTCCATCTTGTTTTCCTTCCTGACCCCTACTGTGGTTTCTCAGGAAATGCTCGTTGAATTTCATAAGACGACCCGGGGGAGTGCCAAAATTGTGCAATCAGAGTCAAGACACTTGGCTCCCAGTTTGAGGTCTGAGCCAGGTCTGTCAAGAGGAGATTCTGAAAATGGTCTTGTGACCCCAGAAGATTCTTCATGCTACTGGGCCTCCTCAGCTTGCTCCTCTGTAAAGTGAGACATTCAGAGCAAGGCAGTGGTTCTTAACTAGGTACACTTTTTCAACACCACGGGTGCCCAGAGGGTCTGATACATCCTTGGTTGTACAACCTTGGCTGGATTTACAATTTATAAGATGCCTTCCCATTTCAGTAATATATGGGGGCTGTTGGATATTGCTGTAGCCTGTGGAGTTAGATGGAAGGAAGTAAGCAGATTGGAATTACAGGTTAGGATTTCAGAGACATAACAAAAAAAAAAATCCTCTGAATAATAATAGCTAATATTTATGAACCGGGTGCTGTGCTGGGCTTGGAATGCCTTATTTTATTTACTAGGCACACAATGCCCTTATGGGGCAGGCACTACTATTATCCCGTTTTATAGATAAACTGGGGTTTAGTGAGGTCAAATAATGATCCAAGTTGCTGAACTAGGTTGCTAAGCACCGGAACTGAGATCAAACCCAGGCTCTCTGACTTCCGAACCTGTATTCCTAACTACTCCCTGGCTGCCTTTCTCTTAGTTTTTGCTTTTATTGTGTGGAGCTGATCGTATGTTTATTAAGTATTGACTTTATCAGTCTTTGCAATTCCACTCTATGTTCTGTATAATATTTGGTTACTGGTAGTTAGGAAGTGATGTTCACTTACAACAATCTTTTATAGAGATAGTGCATGGAGGCGTGGTTGGGCCGTTTAATTTTTGAAAATTGCAGCATACCATACCAGATTCACGAAAAGGTGGCGTCATTTTATTCTTTCACACATACAGTCATGAGTAGCTTAATGAGAGGGATACATTCTGAGAAATGCATCACTAGGCAATTTTGTCATTGTGTGAACATCATAGAATGTACTTACACAAACCTAGATGGTATAGCCTATTGCTTCTTGGCTACAAACCTGTACAGCATGTTACTGAACTGAATACTGTAGGCAATTGTAACACAATGGCATTTTTGCATGTAAACATACCTAAACAGAAAAGGTATGGTAAAAATATGGTGGTATAATCTTACGAGGAGCACTGTTGTATATATGGTTTGTCATTGGTGGAAAGGAATTTGAAAGGAATTTACTTTCTGAAGGGAATACCTGGAGTTAAAAGAACATCTGGTGTTACAAGGTCATCAAAGACCAGGAAATGTATCAAGTCTTCTGGAAACTCACCCAGAGTTCTCATTAGTGATGAGGGAATTGCTATTCTGTAACTGCATAGATGGAACAATGATAACTCATATCCATTGCAAAATGTTTCACCCCACAGAGTGATTAAGCAATTGGTATTTATTGCACCCAAGATATTGTTCACGTTTCTATTTGTGAACAACTCCCGTAACTACTCTTTTACTCCCCATTTCCTTATCATTGCACAATTTCCAGCTGCATCTGTAATGCCTCTGCCCAGTTAAGTGGCTCTTGGCTCCTGCTGAGCATGACTGATGGGCTGAGTTTCCCCTCAGGTTCTTCTAGTGCCCAATTTCCTAGTCTCCGTTAGCAGAACTGCTTTGTCCTATACATACTTTGTCTTAAGGTCAGCTCTGCTCTCAGCTGTGCCCTATCTTCCAGTGGTTGCTCAATCTGGTTCCGTTTGCCTCCATGACATTACTAAAATCTCTTCCCATCTCTTGGATTCAACAGCTCGAAATCACGTTTTTTTTTTTTTTTTTCCTATAGAATCATGACTTCCTTTCCCCAACCCCCAGAGTTTACCCTTAGACCTTGGTCGTTTTTATTTTCAGCTCCAATCAGTTAAAATTCTGCTCTAAAGTGGTCAAGTGATGCTTTCCCTTCCAAGGAGAGAGTGGATAGTGTCAATGGGTCTGGTGTGACTAGCACTTGTGCTTAGGGTCACAGGAAGGAAAGGCAATCGGGAAGGATTCCAGTAGAGAAGGTGGAGGAAGGGGCATCAGGCCATTGATCAGTGCTTCTGGTCTCCCACAAGTCTGCTGGCGATGCAGAGCACATGGTATAGGGGTCAGAATATTCCAGACCTGGCCGTGAGAGAGCTCAAAGACATGGGCAAGTAAGTCCCTGCCATCTCAGAGCTGCAGTCTCTATGAGAGTGGCCCCCCTGGTGGCCCATCTCCCTTCCTTATATTATTGGGGGTCACAAAGTGCCTCACTAAAGAGTGTACTTTCCAGTCTCCTGGGAAGTTAGATTTAGCCACATAGGTCTGGCTTAGGAGAACTAAGTGAAGTTCTGTGGGGACTTAAGCAGAGGAGGCTGCTTAAAAGTAGGAGATAACTGAGTGCAGAGCAGCTCCCTTTTAGCCTTTTCCCTTCTTTCCTGTAACCTGGCATGCAGATGGTGGGATTTCCATAGCTGACTTGCACCATGAGGTGCTTGGTAATAGAAGTATAGTGCATTAGC
The DNA here is from genome assembly GCF_000001405.40 of Homo sapiens. Lineage (NCBI taxonomy): Eukaryota > Metazoa > Chordata > Mammalia > Primates > Hominidae > Homo > Homo sapiens. Next base: position 42,699,476 of record NC_000012.12, read on the forward strand.
GTATAGCACCTATAAGGTATTAGTGCACAGGGCCTAATAGGGCATTAGGGCACAGCGCCTATGGGGTATTAGTGTATAGTATCTATAGTGTATTAATTTTCTGTTGCTATATAAGAAATTACCAGAAATTTAGTGGCTTAAAACAACACATTTATCATCTTACAGTTTCTGTGGATTTGGAGTCTGAGGATGGAGTCTCTGTTCAAGGTCTTGCGAGGCTGAAATCAAGGCATCAGCTGGGCTGTGCTCTCATCTGGAGCTTGGGCCCCTTTTCCAAGCTCATTCAGATTTTGGCAGCATTCAGTTCCTGGCAGTGGTGGAACTGAGGTCCTGTTTTCTTCTGGGCTGTTGGATGGGGGTCCACGCAGCTCCCTGGAGCTGCCCTCACATCCTAGCCTCATGGCCCCTCCCACATGGCTGCTTTCTTCTTAAAGGCCAACTGGAGAATCTCTCTTAGAAAGGCTCAAAAGCTACCTTGTAATTTCTTTAGGATGAGCCCAGTGCCTTTTAAGGGCTCACCTGGTTATCAGACCCACTCAGGATATTCTCCCTTTTAATTAAGTTAAAGTCAACTGATTTTGGTCTTTGATTACATCTGCAACGCCTCTTCAACTTTGTCATGTAATGTAACCTAATCATGGTGGTAAGATCCATCTTATTCACCGTCCTGCCTGTGATGGAAGGGAGGGGACTATTCTGAACACCAGGGGCAGGAATTTGGGACCATCTGAGTTCTGCCTCCTACACATAAGGTGGTGCAGTAGAAATATAGAGCCAGGCTCTCAGGAACTGTGGTGCCTCCTCATCACCTGTAAGCTGTGTAACTCTGACCTTTTTTTTTTTTTTTTTAGACGGAGCGATCTTGGCTCACTGCAAGCTCCACCTCCCAGGTTCACGCCATTCTCCTGCTTTAGCCTGCCAAGTAGCTGGGACTACAGGTGCCCGCCACCACGCCCGGCTAATTTTTTGTATTTTTACTAGAGATGGGGTTTCACCGTGTTAACCACGGTGGTCTTGATCTCCTGACCTTGCGATCCGCCAAATGAGATACATGTTCTTTGTTTATTGAAGACACTATATTCAGGCCTCTTTTACTAGCTGCTGAAAACAATACCTAAATTGATTTGATTCAACACTGAGGTTGGAGAAGCTATTTCTTATTTTGAGACAGGGTCTCACTTTGTTGCCCAGGCTGTAGTGCAGTGGTGTGACCACAGCCCACTGCAACCTTTAATTCCTGGCTCAAGAGATTCTCCCACCTCAGCCTCCCGAGTAGCTAGGACTACAGGCATGTGACAACATGCCTGGCTAATTTTTAAATTTTTTGTAGGAATGGGGTCTCGCTATGTTGTCCACGCTGGCCTTGAATGCAGAAGCTATTTCTAAGATTTAATCTTTCCCTTTCTTTGGGGGCATTCTCTTTGCTGTGTGTACACTGGCTGATGCCATGTTTGAAATTCAAAACTCTCTTGCTTGCCATTCATAGCTCTATGCATCCCAGGTGTACCTTGTAATTCTCCAGTGGTGATTCTGTTTGTTGTAGAGAAGAAAGAGCAGAATTTGAAGTTAGAAGACCTTGCTCCCAGGGTGGGCTTCTTCATTGATCAGCTTTATAATCTTTAGCAAGTTACTTCAATAGTTAAACTTGAATGCCCTTTAAGAAAATGAAGATAATAATCATACCTGTCTTGCCTACTGTATAGGATTGATGTGAGGAACAAATGAGAGAAATATGTGAAGGTGTTTCGAGCCCTGTAAATGCCTGAGCAAACGTTAATGACATGCCATGACTATCCATGCATTCATCTGTTCATTCTACAAACTTAATCTGAATGCATTATTTGTTAAGCATTGAACTGGTGCTGGGAATTCTAAGATTAGTAAGAGAGAGTTCCTGCCGTCACAGGGTCATAGTTTTTTGGGGTGGAGGGAGGGACAGACATATAAACAGTGGAGTATGAGATGTGCTAGGATAGAAGAATGTATGGATTAGTCCTAATCTGGACCTAAGGGGTCAGTAGAATCTTTCTAGAGGCTTGGGCAAATAAGAGATAGTCCGATGAATAAGTATTAATAATAATAATTACTATGCATAGAGTATTTGTTATGTATCAGGAACTGTTCTAAGTATGTTATATGTAGCCCTATGGTATAGATACTGTTATTCTAGCCTCCATTTTGCAGATAAGGAAACTGAGGCACAGGATAATTAATTTGCCCGACATAACACAGCTAGTAAGCTGGTGGAGCCAATCTAGGCTGATCCCATAATTGTTCACTCCAGAGCCTGATCCCATAACTGTTATGCACTGGACCAGGTGGGGTGGCCTGTCCAGAGAGATGTAACAGAAAGCCTGTTCTGTGGAGAAACTGCAAGTAGTTCATCAGGGTCCCAGCAATTCATCAAAAAGTAAAGATGGGGGAAAGAGGGAGTTAAGGGTACAAGGGCATAGAGAGGTAATATAAAAGGGCATAGAGAGGTAATATAAAAGCCAGTAAGCTTTTATATTGAGCAAAGGGAAGCCAGGTAAGGGTCTTGGCCAGGGTTGTTCTTTGCAAAGATCACTGTGGCACAGACGGATAATAGGTTGGAGGGGTAGTATTGGACACGGAAAATAGTAAGGAAGTGCTGGCAGCTGGGTTTAGGGGAATAGTGAGTCTGGGGACAAAGGCGTGGATATGTGACACATGAAAAAATTAGACAGGATTATTTGGGTGGTGGTTGACAGAAAAGGAAGAATCAAGAGTGAGTTGTAGTATCTGGTTTTACCTGACAGAAGGGCCCTTTGCAGAGATGAATGCTAGAGGAACAAAAGGAGGAAAGGTGATGAGATTTGAATATATGGAGTGCGAGGTGCTTTTGATTCATACAAGTAGGCAGTGAATACAGGTATGAATCTGAGAGATCTGGAATGTGAAGATAGGCTTGGGAATCATCAATATGTGGATTATAATAGAGGCCCTGGGGATGGATGAAATTGGCAAGGGAGAGTAATGTGGAGAGATAAGAACCAAGGACAGAAGTGCAGGGAGCACCCATCCTTGAAGTGTGAGCTGGGGGATATGAGGTGTGCAGAGAGACAGGAGGAACTCAAGAGTGCAGGGGAGTTAGAGATGCAAAAGCACTAAGTGGGTGGTTTCATGCAGAAAGGAGACTCGATACACATTAAACAAACAGGACAAGTAAGCGAAGGAGTGAAAAATATTCATTGGACTTGGCCACAAAAAGATGAGCACAATTCCAGTGATTGCTCTGCATGGACATCAGGTTGCAGAGGGTTGAGAAATAAACGAGAGGTGCAAAGGTAGAGCTAATAAGTACACAAACGAACAAAACCAAAAAATGAGAAACAAGCTTTTTCTAGGACTTTGTGACAGGAGGAAGTCCAAAGGATAGGTGAAGAGGGTGTAGGATCCAAGGAGAGTTTTTTCTTTCTTTTCCTGTAAGTTGGGGACATATGAGCAAGTTTTTAGTGTGAAGGAAAAGAACCACTGGAAAGAGCCTACCTGAGTGGGCAACATAGTGAGAGCCCATCTCTACAAAAAAATTAAAAACATTAGCAGGCTATGGTAGTATGTGTCTGTAGTCCCAGCTACTTGGGAGGCTGAGGTGGGGGGATCGATTGAGTCTGGGAGGTCGAGGCTGAAGTGAGCTGTGATTGTGCCACTCCAGCCTGAGTGACAGAGTGGGACTCTGTCTCAAAAAAATAGAGCGTGGCTACTATAAAGAAAGAAGGATGATAAAGTAAGGTTTCCTGGGGAGGCTGAGGGAACAAGGTTCAGCAGCTGAGTGAGAGGATTCATCATAGGGAGAATGTTTTCTTCCTTTAGATGGGGAGAGAGGAAGTGCTCCCTAGGCTCCCACCCACCACCCACCTGATTCTGCCAGGCCCGGGACACTGACCTGCCACACCAACCTCTGCCTTGTGCTGTTGTCATTCAGACACGTGCCAGCATGCATCCATTCAGCAAATACTGGTTGAGTACCTACTAGGAGCTAGCCCCTTTTTGAAATGCTGGAGATACATTAGTGTTTACAGCAGACAAAAACCCCACCTCTTGAGTTTACCTATTCTGGTGGGAGGGCAGAGGCAATAAAATAACTGAGTAAATTATGCAGCATATTAGAAGTTGATAAGGCCTAGGCAGAAAAATAGAAACGGGAGAAAGAGAGGATTGAAGGGTCTCCCTGAGAAGGTGAGACTTGAGCAAAGATATGAAGGAGGTAAGAGAGGAAGTCCTGCCTATGTTTGGAGGAAGAATATTCCAGGCAGAGGCAACCGCAACTGCCAAGATCCCAAGGCAGGAGTAGGCCTGGCATCTCTGAGGAGCTGAGTGAGTGAGCAGTGAGGGCTGAGAGGTAATGGCTGGGTGGAGTTGCAGGACACTTAGGACCTCGTGGGTCACTTAAAGGATGTTGACTTTTATTCTGAGATGGGAGGCCATTGGAAGGTTGTGAGCAGAGGACTGATGTAGGTTTTCTTATGGTTTAAAGGATCGCTCTGGCTGCTATGTTGAGGATTGACTGTGGGGAGTGAGGAGGTTGGGGACAAGTGTGGAAGGTCGGAAGCCAGTGAGGAGGCCATTGCAACAATTCAGGTGTTGAATGATGTGGCTTGGGAGAGTTGCTTTAGAGGAGATTATAAGCAGTGGCTAGACTTTGTATATATCTTGAAGGTTGAACCAGAAGGGTTTACTGACTGTTTATGAGGAAGACTCCAGAACTTTTGTCTTGAATAATCAGAAAGCCTCTTATCTGTTCCTTGTGAAAAAGAAGCTGGTTTTAATTTTCTTTGTATGTTTCATAGTTCCAATTGCAGTTTTGGGTGAACTTCAAGTTTTTGGTAAAAACTATTTAAATTTAATTGAAAGATTTGTAGCCCTCTAAACTCATGCCCTATGGGATGATTAAAGTAGCTAATTTGTTGTTTTAAATACACCTTTTCCCTAAACTCAACACTAAATCTCTCAAAGTAACATCTATTTTCTGGAAGCAAATGGGACTTGTATGGTGTGACTCATAGGTAGGGATTGCTTGGGAATTTTGGGTGGAGGAGAGAAAGGAAAGAGTTGGCCCAAGGAGGCACCACATTGGAAACCTGGAGCAGCTGAGGGCTCTCAGCTGAGAGGTGACTGGCAAAGTGAAGGTGGGAATCTGAAAAACAAGAAAGGAAACCCAGATTGATTTTTTCCCTGATACCTTCAGTGTCTGACAATGTGTATTCTGACAATGTACATGCCTCTGTATGGCTTGCAAACAACAAGGACTTTGTTGCATCTTAAGTTCTTGAATTACAAGCAGAAGGAAGACAACATTTGGAAATGTGTCCTACTTTTGTGTTCTCTTAAAAAAAAAAGCATCAAATTTTTTCTTTCCCCTTATGGTTCTAGAACTAATGTGCCAGTCACCTGTGTGTTTGCTCTCAGATCCATCCCCACTCTTATCTTTGACTGTTCTGAACTGCAGGTGGCTTCCACTGCAGACTTCACTTCCCAGCTCCCTTCCCCACTGGCTCCAGGCTTAGTGGGTGTGAAGCACTGCAGGGGATTGCAGGGTGTGAAGTGCTGTACTGAAGAACAAGGGTATTTCTTCCCCTCCGTCTTTGCTTCAAGTGATGTTCCAAAAGTAGCTATATTTTCTCTCCCAAAAGCCACACATACCACTGAGTGGCTCAGACTACTAGCTCTGTTAATATCACCTCTTCTCTTTTCTCTCCCACTTCTTGGTACTAGCTTCTTGATTCTGCTAATTGCTGGACTGCCCTATTGCTTCCTGTTACCTCATTGTTTCCTGTTACCTCTCATAAAAGCTTTGTAACTTGTTCTCCATATTAAATTCCTAATATTGAGCTACCTGGTATGTGCTGTTTTCTTAGTCGGAACTTGACTGACATGTGTATTTATTGTTGAAATTTGGCAAGAGGAGAGTTTTGTAGAACATAGAAGAATATAAAATCACCACTAATCCCACCATCCAAAAGTAGCTATAGTTAGTGTTTTGGTGTGTATCTTTCCAGTTTATTTTCATGTGCATATAAGCATTTTTTTTTTTGTTCACAACTTTGGAGACATAGTGTACTCTTTGCTTTGTAATCTTTTTTTCCCATTTGATATATTGAAAAAATTTCTAAATCATTTGGTATTCCTATATAACATGATTTTTAAAAATCATGTTATATAGTTAGTTCTGTGACTTCAAATAGATATACTAGAATTTAGTCAGTGGACCACTGTTGGTTGTTCAAATCGTTTCCAATATTTTGCTATTATAATATTATATGCAATTTTGGGGGTATATTTCTGATTGTTTCCTTAGAGTAGATTGAAAAGGTAACTTCTACAAGAGCAGAGGTGTTTTCTGGCCTGCCCACTGATGAATTCTCAGTGCCTAAAGCAGTGTGGGAAGGGATACGTACAGTCTAGGGACCTCATACATGTTGAACTGCCTCTCTTTTGGGGGCCGGGGCTGATTCATCACACAGAAAGTAGTCGGCTCAGAACTGGCTGGCTGCCTGATGTATTGTACAGGATGGAGCCTCCAGGCTACCACAGCTGCTGGGATTCATTCAGCTGGTGGAATTTGCCTTTTGTAACTGAGAGCCAGCTGGACTGAGAGTGAAGGCCAGGGCCTTGTGGATTCCTGTGAAGTCCACTCCTGTTCCTCCAGGACATCTGTTGGCTGCTCTCCTGAGGCTCTTGTAACCATGTTGTGTCAAAGCCCAGGCCCTGCCCCAGCTGGACGAAGCCTGCAGGGGTGGGGATGGAATTTTCAGGCCCCTTCAACTCTGAACCCTTAAAAACTGAGATTTTCTTAATTTTAGGCTTTCAACTACACTCTTAAATTTACTATTTTGAGGGTTAATTCAGATATCAAAGAAAGGCTTGATCACCAAGTAGATGGTAAAGGAAGTCCTTTTTGGTAAAGGAAGTTTAACTTAACCTTTACCAAGTTAACCAGCTCACAAGTTTTTTTTTCTTCTTCAGCAAATGAGGCACCACAGGAAGCTGGAACCTGGTCTCACCATTTATCTTTGGTTTGCCTAAGACCAAATAAATGACTTTATGCCCCAGGCTAAATAACAACAACATGCCAATAAAATAAAAACCACAAAGACAAAGTGGAATGTGGAGGACATGAAAGTTTCATGCTAGGAATTAAACTAGAACATGAAGAAGCATCCGGAGATCTCCAGTTCTGAATACCCTGGTCACTGTCAACAAGTTCCAAATGATTTAAAGTACTAATTGAATTTGATAATTGTTTATTGATCACATAGTATATACTCTGCATCAGAAGCTGCCTCTAAGTAGTGTCACCTTAAGCAGAAGGGATTGAGGTACAAATTCACATCTCAGTAAACACTAAAGTGCTTAATTAGGAGCCCAGGATTGCATTGCTTGGGTTCTAATCCTGGCTTCACCATTATTCGCTGTGTGATCTTGGGGAAGTTGTCAGCTCTTCCTTGGCTTCAGTTTCCTAGTCTATAAAAAGGATGTAATATCCCACAAAGTTATTGGGAGATTTAAATGAATTAACATATATAATGTATTTGGAACACTGCCTGGGACATGGCATATCTGCTTTGTTGCTCCACAGCTTCTCTCCAATGCCAAGTTTTCCTCTGGGTTGGGGTGCGGTATGACTTGGGGAATTGTTGCCTAGCCATTTATTTGGTGTGCGTCCCCTGCATCTGCAGGGACTTCCTAGCTTCCACCTCTTTGTAGCTTCCTAAACTTTCACTTGAAATACATGACCTTTGGTCAGTCCCCAGCTTGCCCCTCAGTGAGGGGTTAATGCAACACACTAGGCTAGGGAATGTAGAAGATAGGGAATTGTAAGGAAAGGTCTTTCCTTGATATGCTCAGCCTGTGAGGGTCTAACATACCTGGTCCAGGAAGAGATACCTTAGAATAGGATGCTGGCATTGGTATGGGGTTCCTTAAAATCACTGAAAGGAGGCCTAGTCCCTGAGAATGATTCTTAGCAACTGGACAGTCTGCCAATATTAGGACGATGTACTCAAGACAATCCAGCCTTTCATCCAAATTCAGGAATCTTTGGACGCTATCCCTTGGGAGATGATCATTTAATTTCTGCTCTAACATTTTATTCATTTGTTCATTCACTCACTCACTGGGCTAGGCCAGTCAAGGGGACTTCACCACTTTGACCTATCAGAGGATAGTAAATTCTCCCAAACAACTTCCAGCAGGTCTTTTTTATTCTGGTTTTTCATACAAGTCATCTCTATTTTATATATTTAATGGCATACATTATCTTCCTGAATCTTTTCCTTTTCAGACTCATTTGTTCTAGATTCAGATCATTCAACAAAACATGGCATGATTTCCACAGTCTCTGACATTCTGATTGCATTGCTTGAGAAAATTCTCAGTCTGGGAATCTCCTTAAAATGCAGCACAGATGATGGCTGAATAGGAACAGCTCCGGTCTGCAGCTCCCAGCGAGATCAACGCAGAAGGCGGGTGATTTCTGCATTTCCAACTGAGGTACACAGCTCATCTCATTGGGATTGGTTAGATAATGGGTGCAGCCCACAGAGGGTGAGCTGAGGCAGGGTGGGGCGTTGCCTCACCCGAGAAGTGCAAGGGGTTGGGAAACTCTCTCCCCTAGCCAAGGGAAGCCATGAGGGACTGTGCCATGAGGAACAGTGCATTCCAGCCCAGATACTACGCTTGTCCCACAGTCTTTGCAACCTGCAGACCAGGAGATTCCCGCGGGTACCTACACCACCAGGACCCTGGTTTTCAAGCACAAAACTGGGCGGATGTTTGGGCAGACACTGAGCTAGCTGGAGAAGTTTTTTTTCATACCCCAGTGGCGCCTAGAATGCCAGCAAGACAGAACCATTCACTCCCCTGGAAAGGGGGCTGAAGCCAGGGAGCCAAGAGGTCTAGCTCAGCGGATCCCACTCCCACGGAGCCCAGCAAGCTAAGATCCACCGGCTTGAAATTCTTGCTGCCAGCATAGCAGTCTGAAGTTGACCTGGGATGCTCGAGTTTGGTGCAGGGAGGGGCGTCCACCATTACTGAGGCTTGAATAGGAGGTTTTTCCCTCACAGTGTAAACAAAGCTGCAGGGGATTCCAACTGGGCAGATCCCCCTGCAGCTTGGCAAAGCCACTGTAGCCAGACTGCCTCTCTAGATTCCTCCTCTCTGGGGAGGGCATCTCTGAAAGAAAGACAGCAGCCTCAGTCAGGGGCTTATAGATAAAACTCGCATCTCCCTGGGACAGAGCACCTGGGGGAAGGGGCAGCTGTGGGCATAGCTTCAGCAGACTTAAACGTTCATGCCTGCTGGCTCTGAAGAGAGCAGCGGCTCTCCCAGCACAGTGTTCGAGCTCTGCTAAGGGACAGACTGCCTCCTCAAGTGGGTCCCTGACCCCACTGCCTCCTGACTGGGAGACACCTCTCAGCAGGGGTCAACAGACACCTCATACAGGAGAGCTCTGGCTGGCATCTGGCAGGTGCCCCTCTGGGACAAGGCTTCCAGAGGAAGGAGCAGGCAGCAATCTTTGCTGTTCTGCAGCCTTCGCTGGTGATACCCAGGAAAACAGGGTCTGGAGTGGACCTCCAGCAGACCTGCAGCAGAGGGGCCTGACTGTTAGAAGAAAAACTAACAAGCAGCAAGGAATAGCATCAACATTAACAAAAAGGATGCCCACACAGAAACCCCACCTGAAGGTCACCAACATCAAAGACCAAAGGTAGGTAGATCCACAAAGATGAGGAAAAACCAGCGCCAAAGGGCTGAAAATTCAAAAACCAGGATGCCTCTTCTCCTCCAAAGGATCACAACGTCTCACCAGCAAGGGAACAAAACTGGATGGAGAATGAGTTTGACGAATTGACAGAAGTAGGCTTCAGAAGGTGGGTAATAACAAACTCCTCCGAGCTAAAGGAGCATGTTCTAACCCAAAGCAAGGAAGCTAAGAACCTTGAAAAAAGGTTAGAGGAATTGCTAACTAGAATAACCAGTTTAGAGAAGAACATAAATGACCTGATGGAGCTGAAAAACACAGCACGAGAACCTGGTGAAGCATACAAAAGTATCAATAGCTGAATTGATCAAGTGGAAGAAAGGATATCAAATTGAAGATCAACTTAGATTAGAGAAAAAAGAAAGAAATGAAACAAAGCCTCCAAGAAATATGGGACTATGTGAAAAGACCTACGTTTGATTGTTGTACCGGGAAGTGACGGGAAGAATGGAACCAAGTTGGAAAATACTCTTCAGGATATTATCCAGGAGAACTTCCCCAACCTAGTAAGACAGGCCAACATTCAAATTCAGGAAATATAGAGAACACCACAAAGATATTCCTTGAGAAGAGCAACCCCAAGACACATAATCATCAGATTCACCAAAGTTGAAATGAAGGAAAAAATGTTAAGGACAGCCAAAGAGAAAGGTCGGGTTACCCACAAAAAGAAGCCCATCAGATTAATAGCAGATCTCTTTGCAGAAACCCTACAGGCCAGAAGAGAGTGGGGGCCAATATTGAAAATTCTCAAAGAATTTTCAACCCAGAATTTCATTTCCAGCCAAACTAAGCTCATAAGTGAAGGAGAAATAACATTTTTTACAGACAAGCAAATGCTGAGAGATTTTGTCACCACCAGGCCTGCCCTAAAAGAGCTCCTGGAGGAAGCACTAAATATGGAAAGGAAAAACTGGTACCAGCCACTGCAACAACATACCAAATTGTAAAGACCATCAACACTATGAAGAAACTGCATTAACGGATGCGCAAAATAACCAGCTGGCATCATAATGACATGATTGAATTCACACATAACAATATTAACCTTAAATGTAAATGGGCTAAATGCCCCAATTAAAAGACACAGACTGGCAAATTGGATAAAGAGTCAAGTCCCATTGGTGTGCTGTATTCAGGAGATCCATCTCATGTGCAAAGACATGCATAGGAAGTTTACCTTAACCTTTACCAAGTTAACCAGCTCACAAGTTGGTTGTGATGGAGGAATATTTACCAAGCAAATGGAAAGCAAAAAACAAGGGTTGCAATCCTAGTCTCTGATAAAACAGACTTTAAACCAACAAAGATCTAAAAAGACATAGAAGGGCATTACCTAATGGTAAAGGGATCAATGCAACAAGAAGAGCTAACTATCCTAAATATATATGCACCCCATACAGGAGCACCCAGATTTATAAAGCAAGTTCTTAGAGACCTACTAAAATACTTAGACTCCCAGACAATAAGAGTGGGAGACTTTAACACCCCACTTAGCACCCAGATTCATAAAGCAAGTTCTTAGAGACCTACAAAAAGATTTAGACTCCCACACAATAATAGTGGGAAATTTTGACACCCCATTGTCAATATTAGGTAGATCAACAAGTCAGAAAATTAACAAGGATATTCAGGACTTGAACTCAGTTCTGGACCAAGCAGACCTAATAGATAGCTACTGAACACTCCACCCCAAATCAACAATATACATTCTTCTTAGCACCACATCGCACTTATTCTAAAATTGACCACATAATTGGAAGTAAAACACTCCTCAGCAAATGCAAAATAACAGAAATCATAACAGACAGTTTCTCAAACCACAGTACATTCAAATTAGAACTCAGGATTACAAAACTCACTCAAAACCGCACAACTACATGGAAACTGAACAACCTGCTCCTGAATGACTACTGGGTAAATAACATTAAGGCAAAAATAAATAAGTTCTTTGAAACCAATGAGAACACAGACACAATGTACCAGAATCTCTGGGACACAGATAAAGCAGTGTCCAGAGGGAAATTTATAGCACTAAATGCCCACAGGAGAAAGCGAGAAAGATCTAAAATTGACACCCTAACATCACAATTAAAAGAACTAGAGAAGCAAGAGCAAATGAATTCAAAAGCTAGCAGAAGACAAGAAATAACTAAGATCAGAGCAGAACTGAAGGAGATAGAGACATGAAAAACCCTTCAAAAAAATCAACGGATCTGGGAGCTGTTTTTTTTTTTTTTTGAAAAGATTAACAAAAATAGACCACTAGCCAGACTAATAAAGAGGAAAAGAGAAGAATCAAATAGACACAATAAAAATGATAAAGGGGATATCACTGCTGATCCCACAGAAATACAAACTACCATCAGAGAATACTATAAACACCTCTGTGCAAATAAACTAGAAAATCTAGAAGAACTGGAAAAATTTCTGGACACATACATCCTCCCAAGACTAAACCAGGAAGAAGTCAAATCCCTGAATAGACCAATAACAAGTTCTGAAATTGAGGCAGTAATTAATAGCCTAACACCCCCCCCCCCCCAAAAAAAAAAAGCCCAGGACCAGATGGATTCACAGCCAAATTCTACCAGAGATACAAAGAGGAGCTGGTACCATTCCTTCTGAAACTATTCCAAACAATAGAGAAAGAGGGACTCTTCCCTAACTCATTTTATGAGGCCAGCATTATCCTGATACCACAACCTGGCAGAGGTACAAAAAAAAAATTTCAGGCCAATCTTTCTGATGAACATCAATGCGAAAATCCTCAGTAAAATACTGGCAAACAGAATCCAGCAGCACATCAAAAAGCTTATCCACCATGATCAAGTTGGCTTCATCCCTGGGATGCAAGGCTGGTTCAACATACACAAATCAATAAATGTAATCCATCACATAAACAGAACCAATGTCAAAAACCAGGTGATTATCTCAATAGATGCAGAAGAGGCCTTTGATAAAATTCAACACCTTCATGCTAAGAACTCTCAATTACTAGATATCAATAGAATGTATCTCAAAATAATAGCTATTTATGACACACCCACAGCCAATATCATACTGAATGGGCAAAAGCTGGAAGCATTCCCTTTGAAAACTGGCAGAAAACAAGGATACCCTTTCTCACCACTCTTGTTCAATATAGTATTGGAAGTTCTGGCTAGGGCAATCAGGCAAGAGAAAGAACTAAAGGTATTCAAATAGGAAGAGAGGAAGTCAAATTGTCTCTGTTTGCAGATAACATGATTACATATTTAGAAAACCCCATTGTCTCAGCTCAAAATCTCCTTAAGCTGTAAGTAACTTCAGCAAAGTCTCAGGATACAAAATCAATGTGCAAAAATCACAAGCATTCCTATACACCAATAACAGACAAACAGACAAATCATGAGTGAACTCCCATTCACAATTTCTACAAAGAGAATAAAATACCTAGGAATACAAATTACAAGGGATATGAAGGACCTCTTCAAGGAGAACTACAAACCACTGCTCAAGGAAATAAAAGAAGACCCAAACAAATGGAAAAACATTCCATGCTCATGGATAGGAAGAAGAATCAATATCATGAAAATGGCCATACTGTCCAAAGTAATTTATAGATTCAATGCTATCCCCATCAAGCTACCACTGACTTTCTTCACAGAATTGGAAAAAAAACTACTTTAAATTTCACACGGAACCAAAAAAGAGCCTGTATAGCCAAGACAATCCTAAGCAAAAGGAAAAAAGCTGGAGGATCATGCTACCTGACTTCAAACTATACTACAAGGCTACAGTCACCAAAACAGCATGGTACTGGTACCAAAACAGATATATAGACCAACGGAACAGAATAGAGTCCTCAGAAATAACACCACACATTTACAACCATCTGATCTTTGACAAACCTGACAAAAACAACCAATGGGGAAAGGATTCCCTACTTAATAAATGGTATTGGGAAAACTGGCTAGCCATATGCTGAAAATGAAAACTGGACCCCTTCCTTACACCTTATACAAAAATTAACTCAAGATGGATTAAAGACTTAAACGTAAGACCTAAAACCATAAAAAACCTTAGAAGAAAACTAAGCAATGCCATTCAGGATATAGGCATGGTCAAAGACTTCATGACTAAAGCACCAAAAGCAATGGCAACAAAAGCCAAAATTGACAATGGGATCTAATTAAAGAGCTTCTGCACAGCAAAAGAAACTATCATCAGAGTGAACAGGCAACCTACAGAATGGGGGAAATTTTTTGCAATCTATCCATCTGACAAAAGGCTAATATCCAGAATCTACAAAGCACTTAAATTTACAAGAAAAAAACAACCCTATCAAAAAGTGGATGAAGGATATGAAGACACTTCTCAAAAGAAGACATGTGGCCAACAAACATGAAAAAAAGCTCATCATCAGTGGTCATTAGAGAAATGCAAATCAAAACCACAATGAGATACCATCTCATGCCAGTTAGAATGGTCATCATTAAAAAGTCAGGAAACAACAGATGGTGGAGAGGATGTGGAGAAACAGGAATGCTTTTACACTGTTGGTGGGGAGTGTAAATTAGTTCAACCATTGTGGAAGACAGTGTAGCGATTCCTCAAGGGTTTAGAACCAGAAATAACACTTGACCCAGCAATCCCGTTACTGGGTATATACCCAAAGGGTTATAAATCATTCTACTATGAAGACACATGCACACGTATGTTTATTGCAGCAGTGTTCACAATAGCAAAGAATTGGAACCAACCCAAATGCCCATCAATGATAGACTGGGTAGAGAAAATGTGGCATATATGTACCATGGAATACTATGCAGCCATAAAAAGGATGAGTTCATGTCCTTTGCAGGGACATGGATGAAGCTGGAAACCATCATTCTCAGCAAACTAACACAGGAACAGAAACCCAAACACAGCATGTTCTCACTTGTAAGTGGGAGTTGAACAATGAGAACACATGGACACAGGGAGGGGAACATCACACACTGGGGCCTGTCAATGGGTAGGGGTTTAGGAGAGGGATAGCATTAGGAGAAATACCTAATGTAGATGATGGGTTGATGGGTGCAGCAAACCACCATGGCATGTGTATACTTATGTAAAAAACCTGCATGTTCTGCACATGTATCCCAAAACTTAAAGTATAATAAAAAATGCAGCACAAAGATTTAGTCTCAACACTCCATATGCAGAATAAGAGTCTCCCTGATGGATCTACTAATGGAGCCTAAGACTGTTTTAGCTTTTAAAGGAAAATTTTAAATGAGTCATTATTTGCCCAATTTTCTTCCACACGATAGCTACGTAATTGGCTTTGTAAATCTACATGTAACAGTTTAATTTCACTGCAGCTCACTTATCCTCTGATGTAATTTTGAATTTGCCAGTTAGAGGTATTTTTAGTGCCCATAATTTTGATAAGCATGAAGATGAATAAGAAAGACAAGGACGGCATACTCCAGCACCCCATCACAAATTTTGCTCTGAGATGAATACCCATCTACTAATCAACACTCTTTGACTTTGGATTCAACCAGCTGATTCTTCCCACAACTCAATCTATAGTTGCTACTCACATATCTGATTCAGTTTGGGTTGCTATAACAGAATACCATGGACTGGGTGATTTAAATAACAGAAATGTATTTCTCGTAGTTCTGGAGGCTGGGGTAGTCCAAGGTCAAGGCACTGGCAGGTGTCTGGTGACATCCTCTTCCTGGCTTGCAGTTGGCCATTTTCTTATTCTACCCTCACATGGTTGAGAGCAGAAAGAGAGGAAGCTCTCTCATGTCTCTTTGTATGTGTATATGGGCACTAATTTCATCATGACACCTCAACCCTCATGGCCTAATTGTTTCCTGAAGGCCTCATCTCCAAAGACCCTAACATTGGAGATTCAGGCTTCAAAATGCAAATTTTGGGGAGACACAAATGTTCAGTCCATAGCACCAATTTTGAAGCTCTTCACTTAGTAGGGCAACATTGGAAAAGTTATGTATAATAACTTCTCTGAACCTCACTATCATCATCTGTAAAGTGGAGGAATATCTACCTTGAAGTGAGGGCTAAGATAAATTATAGTGAAGGTTTATCATAGTGTCAAGCATTTAATGTCAGTTATTTAATATGTTATTTCTCCATCTTGTCCACTAGATACCACAAAATTGATCTGAAATTTCATTATCACAGTTTCAATATTTTCCTGTCTTTGGTCTTTTGGAACTTTCCCCCTTTTTTTTTTTTTTTTTTTTTGAGACAGAGTCTCACTCTGTCACTCAGGCTGGAGTGCAGTGGTGCGATCTCACTGCAAGCTCTGCCTCCTGGGTTCGCGTCATTCTCCTGCCTCAGCCTCCTGAGTAGCTGGGACTACAGGTGCCTGCCACCATGCCCAGCTAATTTTTTGCATTTTTAGTAGAGACGGGATTTCACCGTGTTAGCCGGGATGGTCTGGATCTCCTGACCTCATGATCCACCTGCCTTGGCCTCCCAAAGTGCTGGGATTAGAGACGTGAGCCATGGCACCTGGCTGAGCTTTTCCTATTTTTAATGACTTTTAAAGGATTAATTGGCAATGATCTTGATATAAGCCTAGAGATTTGTTTAACAGCTGAGAGCAATTATGACTTCCTATAGAGCACTAGATTAGCCTAGTGACTAATACAAATAATATCATTAATTTGGGTGCTGGGGAGAGGAACTCCATAAGAGTTGAGAATCAAACCTGGAAGTCAGACAGTAGCTTTTTTTTTTTTTTTTTTAAATGTGGTATGCAGAAGTGGAAGACCATGCAGGATAATTTTTATTAGATTTTATTACAGAACATTCAGCACAAATATTACTGCTCAGATTGGGGTGGGTGATTGTTGCATTTACTTGGACATTGTTTATCTGATAGTATCATCATGATTAGGAGGTTCTGGGATCAGACTGACCTGGCTCCATCATTTGCCAGTGTGTGTAAGGTCACAGCTGGAACCTTGACTGAGTCTGTTTGCTCGTCACTTAAATGGTATCCAGAACATAAGATGGTTTGAGGATCATGGGAGAATGTGTGTCTGAAGTGCTTATCCTGGTTCCTAGTCCATAGTGGTGGACTCAATAAATGGTAGCCGTGATTTTAACTATGGTAAGAGAAAATTTCGCAAAGGAACTGGCCGCCAAACACCACTAAAAATTTAATCATTGCCTTTTTTACAGCAGGCAGATTATAGGAATATTTGCTTTCTTTTCTCTCAAGGGTGTAACACTGTGACCAACGAAGAGAGTGTTTTCTATCAGTGACTCGCAGACTTCCCTTTCACTGGAATCCAGCTTATTAGCTGCATGGTTAACTTTGGAGCCAGGAAAACATCCTGCACATGACACTGCCATCAAGCAGAGGAGACATGTTTCTCGGCTTCCCCTCTCTGGGACTTAATAGCCTCTGAAGGCTAGCCTTTACTGACTCATGAAGCTGTGTCTGCCTGGGGTCAGTGGTGGAGACATTGCGTTAACCCCAGCAAGCGAGCCATCACCAGAGCTTTGCACAGGGAGACACCACATAGAAAGGCAGATGAGGCAACACACACACCATCCCCAGACAGCCATGGGTCCCCAGAGACAGGAAAAATATGTGTTTTCTTAAAGAATTAGAAAAGAAAACCTTGCTTTTTCCTGTGTGGCTCATTGGTAGGAGATCTCAAATTCTAACCCTTGTTTTCTCTTTTACCTCTCTGTCTGCTAAAAAGCACTCCTTAGATCCAGTATCTAGCATGGTGAGCCTCCTGGATGCAGTGCTGCAGTGGCCACTGCTGGGTCAAAAACAAACACTGGGAAAGGAGGAAAATGATGTTTTTCTCTCTTTCAATAAAGCATTTGAAATCTCTAGTTCTGTTTTCTCCTTTCTCTCTCTGGTGTCCCATGTATGCAGTGATGAGAAAGGAAGTTCTTCCATCTGGTGTTTGTGACTCAATTATTCCTAACCCATTTTTATGTTGTTCTACCAGTAGTAGTTCCCCAGGTGCAGGTCACCTTCCTCTCTTATGACTCCCTGTACTCCAGGCTGTTTCTGGGATAGGTGTTCATGGTTGGGGAGAAACTGTACTCTCAACATTAGCAGAGAACATTTACTGAGTGATTGTAAATTGGTCCCTAGAGAGGTCCTGGGACATTTTCTTAGTGAGCCAATGCTGACTTCTGGAGAGCATTCCTTAGTAGGTGTCAGGATCAGCTTCATAATCTAGTCTAGAACTTTGTTAAGCTCAAGCTTTATGATAATGTGTGTCCATTTGTAATTATCACCTCTAATCATCATCTGGAAATGTAGATTTCAATTTGTGTGCAAAGGTGCCCACTGCCTTGGTTTTCTAGTCTGTTTTACGTAGTCTATTCTGTGCTTTTTAAGTCGACATACATTTTCTTTAGTAGACAAGGAATGATACTCCTGTTAGTAATGAAGAGAATGGTCAAAAAAGGCTGGGGATATGGTTGGGGTTAGATTTGTGCCATCCACATATGGCGGGTGGCAACCATATTGGACGGTGTAGATGTAGAACATTTCCATGATCACGGAAAGCTCTATTGGGCTTGTCAGATCTGTGTTAGATGACCAAAAAGAGTAGGATCACCTCCTGCTGGCCTGGAAGTCTCCATTAGTAGAAGCCAAGAGAGTGCTGTAGAATTCTTCGGACTCCTATAAAGACCACTGTCACTTATGTCTTCTCTACCTCCTCTGCTGCCTGGAGACCACAGGGCTACTCTCATCATGTCACTTATCACATGAAGCCCAGGACTGCCTGGCCATTTTCATGCCAAGACTCCTCCATGACTTTGCACTTCTCTTAAAGGATTTCACTGGCCCTTTGGAATTTTAAGGTCAATTGTCAGCATAATCTCCCAAAACCTCAACTCTTCACTGAATCTTCTCTTCACTTCCTTGCTCTTCCCCAGACACTGCTTCCCTTGCAGCTCTCTTGAAAGATGGACATTTTCTCTCTCATCCTTCTTGTACTGCTGGACCTGGAGGTGGGTGAATTATTTTGCCTTAATTTCTGCCAGCACAGTGGCTCACACCTGTAATCCCAGCACTTTGGGAGGTGAAGGTGGGTGGATCTCTTGAGCCCAGGAGTTGGAGGTCAGCCTGGGCAACATACTGAAACCACATCTTTACTAAAAATACAAAAATTAGCTGGACATGGTGGCGCATGCCTGTAGTCCCAGCTGCTTGAGAGTCTGAGATGGGAGGATCAGTTAGTTGAACTCAGGAGGTGGAGGTTGCAGTGAGCTATGATCATGCCACTGCACTCCAGCCTGGGCAACAGAGTGACACCCCCCAAACCAAAAAACACTTCTGCCTCTAGACCTTTCTCTCTCTCCTCCTTAAAATCTGTTATAAATCTCATGTTGTCAATTTAGATCACCCTATATCCCTGCTCCCTTGCTGTAGTCCATAAGGACACCTTGGGTCACTCTGCCTGATTTCTTGAGGACTTTTTAGCTTGTGGCTCACTGCCATTCTCTCATCATTATTTATTTAATTGTTAGTAATGTAAATAGACAGGTAGAGGATTCTTGACTTTTTCTCCTCTGCTTATCTTGTCCTCTGTCTCATCTCAGAAACTATCTCTTGTAGTTGTCAACCTAAATAATGAGCTCTCTAAGAAATATGTTTATTTGCAAATAGAGCAACGCCTTGTGAATATGTGTGCCATGGTAAACTCTGTGCGTATTCAGGGAGGTAAAGGAAGACAAAGATTTTTTATGTTTTTTTAAAATTTTTTATTTTTAGAGACAAGGTCTCACTATGTTGCCCCAGCTGGCCTCGACTTCCTAGGCTCAAGTAATCCTCCCATGTCAGCCTTCTTAGTAGCTGGAATTACAGGCATGTGCCACTGCTGATAAAGGTTTTTAAAGGAAAAAATGAGGAATACATAATCATTTTGAAATAATTATCCCTGGCTACAGAGACCAATAACAAGGGTGACACCAGTTCAAGGTTGGACAAGCAGTTGCTGTGCAGATGTCCTTGCAGAAGTATTTTTTTTTGTGTGAGGTTGCAATGGCCTTTGTGCAAGGTTGTAGTTTTTGTAGTCTTTCATGATAGTTTTTACTATCAGGCATCCTAGCCAGGAGAACCCTCATTTCGTGGCCTTCCCTGGTTCTGTTTGTAAAGGTTTTTTAAATTTGTTTTTTTACTTTGAGCATTTTTTATTAATGTATGGTTATTCATAACACAGCACGGTAAATAGAGATTTATGCTTTAAATGTTTAAACCTATATGCAATCTTTATATGTTTCCATATTCAGCCTTTATATACATTTGGCAAGACTTTGCAAAAGCTGTCATTAGATAAGGATATTGAGTGCACAGGTTGCTGTTAATTCCAGTGGAAACAAAGTCTCTTAACTCATTTTTTTCTACTTTGCTGATTTTCCAAACAATTGCATCTTTTTAAATTTCAAAATTATAATTTTGTTGACATTCAGAAATATTGACAATGCATGTAAAGGTATGCACAATGCATAGAATATATTACAGCATGGAATGAAACTGCATATTCGTCTGCATTAATCTAATTATGCATATATATATTTTTTTATTATACTTTAAGTTTTAGGGTACAGGTGCACAATGTGCAGGTTTGTTACATATGTATACATGTGCCATGTTGGTGTGCTGCACCCATTAACTCGTCATTTAACATTAGGTATATCTCCTAATGCTATCCCTCCCCACTCCCCCAACCCCACAATAGGCCCCGGTGTGTGATGTTCCCCTTCTTGTGTCCATGTGTTCTCATTGCTCAATTCCCATCTATGAGTGAGAATATGTGGTGTTTGTTTTTTTGTCCCTGAGATGGTTTGCTGAGAATGATGGTTTCCAGCTTCATCCATGTCCCTACAAAGGACATGAACTCATCCTTTTTTATGGCTGCATAGGATTCCATGGTGTATATGTGCCACATTTTCTTAATCCAGTCTATCATTGTTGGACATTAGGCTAGGTTCCAAGTCTTTGCTATTGTGAATAGTGCCACAATAAACATATGTGTGCATGTGTCTTTATAGCAGCATGATTTATAGTCCTTTGGGTATATACCCAGTAATGGGATGGCTGGGTCAAATGGTATTTCTAGTTCTAGATCCCTGAGGAATCACCACACTGACTTCCACAATGGTTGAACTAGTTTACAGTCCCACCAACAGTGTAAAAGTGTTCCTATTTCTCCACATCCTCTCTAGCACCTGTTGTTTCCTGACTTTTTAATGATCACAATTCTTTATTTTATTTTATTTTATTTTTTAATGATCACAATTCTAGCTGGTGTGAGATGGTATCTCATTGTGGTTTTGATTTACATTTCTCTGATGGCCAGTGATGATGAGCATTTTTTCATGTGTCTTTTGGCTGCATAAATGTCTTCTTTTGGGAAGTGTCTGTTCATGTCCTTTGCCCACTTTTGATGGGGTTGTTTGTTTTTTTCTTGTAAATTTGTTTGAGTTCATTGTAGATTCTGGATATTAGCCCTTTGTCAGATGAGTAGATTGCAAAAATTTTCTCCCATTCTATAGGTTGCCTGTTCACTCTGATGGTAGTTTCTTTTGCTGTGCAGAAGCTGTTTAGTTTAATTAGATCCCATTTGTCAATTTTGGCTTTTGTTGCCATTGCTTTTGGTGTTTCAGACATGAAATCCTTGCCCATGCCTATGTCCTGAATGGTATTGCCTAGGTTTTCTTCTAGGGTTTTTATGGTTTTAGGTCTAACATGTAAGTCTTCAATCCATCTTGAATTAATTTTTGTATAAGGTTTAAGAAAGGGGTCCAGTTTCAGCTTTCTACATATGGCTAGCCAGTTTTCCCAGCACCATTTATTAAATAGGGAATCCTTTCCCCATTGCTTGTTTTTGTCAGGTTTGTCAGAGATCAGATAGTTGTAGATATGCGGCATTATTTCTGAGGGCTCTGTTCTGTTCCATTGATCTATATCTCTGTTTTGGTTACTGTAGCCTTGTAGTATAGTTTGAAGTCAGGTAGTGTGATGCCTCCAGCTTTGTTCTTTTGGCTTAGGATTGACTTGGCGATGCGG
The DNA here is from genome assembly GCF_000001405.40 of Homo sapiens. Lineage (NCBI taxonomy): Eukaryota > Metazoa > Chordata > Mammalia > Primates > Hominidae > Homo > Homo sapiens. The sequence continues at coordinate 42,721,318 of NC_000012.12, forward strand.
GCTCTTTTTTGATTCCATATGAACTTTAGTTTTTTCCAATTCTGTGAAGAAAGTCATTGGTAGCTTGATGGGGATGGCATTGAATCTATAAATTACCTTGGGCAGTATGGCCATTTTCACAATATTGATTCTTCCTATCCATGAGCATGGAATGTTCTTCCATTTGTTTGTATCCTCTTTTATTTCATTGAGCAGTGTTTTGTAGTTCTCCTTGAAGAGGTCCTTCACATCCCTTGTAAGTTGGATTCCTATGTATTTTATTCTCTTTGAAGCAATTGTGAATGGGAGTTCACTCATGATTTGGCTCTCTGTCTGTTATTGGTGTATAAGAATGCTTGTGATTTTTGCACATTGATTTTGTATCCTGAGACTTTGCTGAAGTTGCCTATCAGCTTAAGGAGATTTTGGGGTGAGACAGTGGGGTTTTCTAGATATACAATCATGTCATCTGCAAGCAGGGACAATTTGACTTCCTCTTTTCCTAATTGAATACCCTTTATTTCCTTCTCCTGCCTAATTGCCCTGGCCAGAACTTCCAACACTATGTTGAATAGGAGTGGTGAGAGAGGGCATCCCTGTCTTGTGCCAGTTTTCAAAGGGAACACTTCCAGTTTTTGTCCATTCAGTATGATATTGGCTGTGGTTTTGTCATAGATAGCTCTTATTATTTTGAAATATGTCCCATCAATACCTAATTTAGTGAGAGTTTTTAGCATGAAGAGTTGTTGAATTTTGTCAAAGGCCTTTTCTGCATCTATTGAGACAATTGTATGGTTTTTGTCATTGGTTCTGTTTATATGCTGGATTACATTTATTGATTTGCATGTGTTGAACCAGCCTTGCATCCCAGGGATGAAGCCCACTTGATCATGGTGGATAAGCTTTTTGATGTGCTGCTGGATTCGTTTTGCCAGTATGTTATTGAGGATTTTTGCATCGATGTTCATCAAGGATATTGGTCTAAAATTCTCTTTTTTGTGTGTCTCTGCCAGGCTTTGTTATCAGGATGATGCTGGCCTCATAAAATGAGTTAGGGAGGATTCCCTCTCTTTCTATTGATTGGAATAGTTTCAGAAGGAATGGTACCAGTTCTTCCTTGTACCTCTGGTAGAATTTGGCTGTGAGTCCATCTGGTCCTGGACTCTTTTTGGTTGGTAAGCTATTAATTATTGCCTCAATTTCAGAGCCTATTATTGGTCTATTCAGAGATTCAACTTCTTCCTGGTTTAGTCTTGGGAGGGTGTATGTGTCCAGGAATTTATCCATTTCTTCTAGATTTTCTAGTTTGTTTGCATAGAGGTGTTTATAGTATTCTCTGATGGTAGTTTGTATTTCTGTGGGATTGGTGGTGATATCCCCTTTATCATTTTTTATTGCATCTATTTGATTCTTCTCTCTTTTTTTCTTTATTAGTCTTGCTAGTGGTCTATCAATTTTGTTGATCTTTTCAAAAACCAGCTGCTGGATTCATGGATTTTTTGAAGGGTTTTTTTTTTCTCCATTTCCTTCAGTTCTGCTCTGATCTTAGTTATTTCTTGCCTTCTGCTAGCTTTTGAATGTGTTTGCTCTTGCTTCTCTAGTTCTTTTAATTGTGATGTTAGGGTGTCAATTTTAGATCTTTCCTGCTTTCTCTTGTGGCCATTTGATGCTATAAATTTCCCTGTACATACTACTTTGAATGTGTCCCAGAGATTCTGGTATGTTGTGTCTTTGTTCTCATTGGTTTCAAAGAACATCTTTATTGCTGCCTTCATTTTGTTATTTACCCAGTAGTCATTCAGGAGCAGGTTGTTCAGTTTCCATGTAGTTGAGCAGTTTTGAGTGAGCTTCTTAATCCTGAGTTCTAGTTTGATTGCACTGTGGTCTGAGAGACAGTTTGTTTTAATTTCTGTTCTTTTACATTTGCTGAGGAGTGCTTTACTTCCAACTATGTGGTCAGTTTTGGAATAGGTGTGGTGTGGTGCTGAAAAGAATGTATATTCTATTGATTTGGGGTGGAGAGTTCTGTAGATGTCTATTAGGTCCGCTTGGTGCAGAGCTGAGTTCAGTTCCTGGATATCATTGTTAACTTTCTGTCTTATTGATCTAATGTTGACAGTGGGGTGTCAAAGTCTCCCATTATTATGATGTGTGGGGGTCTAAGTCTCTTTGTAGGTCACTAAGGACTTGCTTTATGAATCTGGGTGCTCCTGTATTGGGTGCATATATATTTAGGATAGTTAGCTCTTCTTGTTGAATTGATCCCTTTACCATTATGTAATGGCCTTCTTTGTCTCTTTTGATCTTTGTTGGTTTAAAGTCTGTTTTATCAGAGACTAGGATTGCAACCCCTGCCTTTTTTTGTTTTCCATTTGCTAGGTAGATCTTCCTCCATCCCTTTATTTTGACCTATGTGTGTCTCTGCCCATGAGATGGGTTTCCTGAATACAGCACACTGATGGGTCTTGACTCTTTATCCAATTTGCCAGTCTGTGTCTTTTAATTGGAGCATTTAGCCCATTTACATTTAAGGTTAATATTGTTATGTGTGAATTTGATCCAGTCATTATGATGTCAGCTGGTTATTTTGCTTAGTTGATGCAGTTTCTTCCTAGCCTCAGTGGTCTTCACAATTTGGCATGTTTTTGCAGTGGCTGGTACCAGTTGTTTCTTTCCATGTTTAGTGCTTCCTTCAGGAGCTCTTTTAGGGCAGGCCTGGTGGTGACAAAATCTCTCAGCATTTGCTTGTCTGTAAAGTATTTTATTTCTCCTTCACTTATGAAGCTTAATTTGGCTGGATATGAAATTCTGGGTTGAAAATTCTTTAAGAATGTTGAATATTGGCCCCCACTCTCTTCTGGCTTGTAGAGTTTCTGCTGAGAGATCAGCTGTTAGTCTGATGGGCTTCCCTTTGTGGGTAACCTGACCTTTCTCTCTGGCTGCCCTTAACATTTTTTCCTCCATTTCAACTTTGGTGAATCTGACAATTATGTGTCTTGGAGTTGCTCTTCTCGAGGAGTATCTTTGTGGCATTCTCTGTATTTCCTGAATTTGAATGTTGGCCTGCCTTGCTAGATTGGGGAAGTTCTGCTGGATAATATCCTGCAGAGTGTTTTCCAACTTGGTTCCATTCTCACTGTCACTTTCAGATACACCAATCAGAAGTAGATTTGGTCTTTTCACATAGTCCCATATTTCTTGGAGGCTTTGTTTGTTTCTTTTTATTCTTTTTTCTCTAAACTTCTTGCTTCATTTCACTCATTTGATCTTCCATCACTGAAACCCCTTCTTCCACTTGATGGACTCGGCTACTGAGGCTTGTGCATTCATCATGTAGCTCTCGTGCCATGGTTTTCAGCTCCATCAGGTCCTTTAAGGACTTCTCTACATTGATTATTCTAGTTAGCCATTTGTCTAATTTGTTTTCAAGGTTTTTCACTTCTTTGCCGTGGGTTCGAACTTCTTCCTTTAGCTCAGAGTAGTTCAATTGTCTGAAGCCTTCTTCTCTCGACTTGTCAAAGTCATTCTCTGTCCAGCTTTGTTCCGTTGCTGGTGAGGAGCTGCGTTCCTTTGGAGGAGGAGAGGTGCTCTGATTTTTAGAGTTTCCAGCTTTTCTGCTCTGTTTTTCCCCCATCTTTGTGGTTTTATCTACCTTTGGTCTTTGACGATGGTGACATACCGATGGGGTTTTGGTGTGGATGTCCTTTCTGTTTGTTAGTTTTCCTTCTAACAGTCAGGACCCTCAGCTGCAGGTCTGTTGGAGTTCGCTGGAGGTCTAGTCCAGACCCTGTTTGCCTGGGTATCAGCAGCAGAGGCTGCAGAACAGCAGATATTGGTGAACAGCAAATGTTGCTGCCTGATCGTTCCTCTGGAAGTTTTGTCTCTGATGAGTACCTGGCCGTGTGAGGTGTCAGTCTGCTCCTACTGGGGTGTGCCTCCCAGTTAGGCTACTCGGGGGTCAGGGACCCACTTGAGGAGGCAGTCTGTCCATTCTCAGATCTCCAGCTGCATGCTGGGAGATCCACTACTCTCTTCAAAGCTGTCAGACAGGGACATTTAAGTCTGCAGAGGTTTCTGCTGCCTGTTGTTTGGCTATGCCCTACCCCCAGAGGTGGAGTCTACAGAGGCAGGCAGGCCTCCTTGAGCTGTGGTGGGCTCCACCCAGTTCGAGCTTCTGGGCCGCTTTGTTTACCTACTGAAGCCTTGGCAATGGCGGGTGCCCCTCCCCCAGCTTCACTGCTGCCTTGTAGTTTGATCTCAGACTGCTGTGCTAGCAATGAGCGAGGCTCCATGGGCGTAGGACCCTCTGAGCCAGGCGCGGGATATAATCTCCTGGTGTGCTGTTTGCTAAGACCATTGCAAAAGCACAGTATTAGGGTGAGAGTGACCCGAATTTCCAGTTGCTGTCTGTCACCCCTTTTTTTGACTTGGAAAGGGAATTCCCTGACTCCTTGGCTGTTTTGCAGATCCACTTAAACCCCTGTCTTCCTGCAGGGCATAACTTCACAAATACGTGTGGCGCAGACACAGAGTCCTAGAACATGTTTTGGGGAATTGAAAATAGTTCCTTAAGACTGAGGTGTTCAGTGAGGAGGAAAGAAGGGCAAGGGATAAAACTTCATAGAAAATATCCACACTTGCCGTCTTTATTTTCTTTGGTTCAGTGCCTTAGTGAGTCAGGCTTTTGGACTGTAAACTTTGAATGGAAAGATCTAAGGCTGGGCATGCTTAAGTTTCAGACAAATCATCTGTCTTTGCTCCTTATGGTTCACACCTGGCATCTGTCAGCAGGGCTGCCTCCTTGGGATGCTGACTGGTGGTTACAAAAGAGAAGCCCCACAGCCTTTCATGAAACAACTATATATCCCTGTATCATAGATCATAGAGAACCAAAATGTGTGGTTTAGGAAATGTCAAGCATGTTCAGGAATCTTAGACTTCATTCATTTGCCATTAGTTGACATTAGATTGGTATTTCTTTGCCCACTATTGGCTCCTTGAAAACTGAATCCTAACTCTTAGAGCAGTGCCTGCACAGTCTTTCCATAAGGATGAATTAATATGGGTGATGCAGCCACAAATTAGGCCTTTCAAATTTTTCAGCTGGTTTTTCCTCCAGAGGGTGTCTGTAGGCTGTACAGGAAGCATGGCGCTAGCATCTGCTCAGCTTCTGGCGAGGCCTCAGGGAGCTTACAGTCATGGTGGAAGGTGAAGGCAGGAGCCAGGGTATCACATGGTGATAGAGGGAGCAAAAGAGCTTTTTTTCTTTTAAACACTAGTAACTCCATTTTGGTTCTGAAACTTTCACATGGTCTTACACCAGTGGATCTTGTGCTTATGCTTAACTTGAACCTTGCCAGAATCTTAATTTCAAACATTCAGCTCCTAGATCATGTTTTTCATCTTTATAGCCCACTTCTTGCAGCAGCCTAGCTCCAACAATCTTTCAACACTCCCAGGACCTTCAATCTAGTGTCTCCACCAGTCAAACACCAGAGGCAACCCTTCTGGGTGGATGAATTAAGAAAAGGTGTCTTCTCTGGGCATGAGACACAGACTAGATTTTGGCCCTCTTTTACCCCTTTCAGACACAGCTAAGAAAAAAAAAAACTGTGCTGCCTGTTCACACTTCAAATTCGTGATCAGTAACCTCAAGTGAACCATGATTCCTCCCATCAGCTTGACTGTATTTCCTTTGCATATAATTTTCTGTTTGCCTAGACAATGATTTAATTTCCTCTTTCTTCTCTTCAGAGCTTTAACGTCTCCTCCCTCACTGAGTTTCAACTGATGACCTTGCTTTCCAATCCACCAAAGAAATTGGAGCCATGGCAAGAAAACCTCCACAAGTTCCTCTCAGCACACCTAGTCACCCATGTACATCTCTATCTACATGCTGTACCTTCTCTTTGGCTTGTATTCCTCCACTCGGGCACTGAATCTCATTGCTTTTGCCTACTCAAGGGCACTGCTGCCAGGATTCTCTCTGCTCCTTTTTATCACCAAATAATGCCTTTGCATTGGATCATTCCTACCAGAATTTAGGCATTATTTCTTTCCTCTTCAACACAGGTCTCTATAGACCTTATTTCCCTCTTCAGTTGCTCTGTTTTTCTATTTTCTGTCATAGGAAAATTTATCAAATGTATTGTCTGCACTTGAGGTCTCCATGACTGTGGTCAGTCTTTCACCTCTCTACTCTACTGCTCTTGTTAAGGTCACCAGCGACAACCACATTTTCAAAAACAGTGATCAAATTATCAGTCTTCCTCTCCTTGGCCTGTTAGAGGCATTTAACGTAGTAGGTTGATCTCTCTTCCTTGGAATATTTTTTCATTTAGCTTCAAGGACACCACACTCTTCTGGTTTCCATTAACCTTTTTGCAAAGTGATGTCTCCTCTACTGGTTCTTCCTTAACTCTAACCTCTAAATATTGGAACACCCCAGTGTTCATTCTTGGTCTTCTTCTCTTTCTGTCTCTCCCTAAATGATCTTATCCAGCCTCATGGCTTCAAGTAACATTTTCATGTTGATAATTCCCAAATTTATATCTATCTTCAGCCTGGACACTCCATAGAATTTCAGACTTGTACTTCATACCCCCATTGCCTAATCAGAATTTCTACTTGGATATCAAATAGGCATCACAAATTGAACAAGATCAAACTGAACAACTGATATCCATCTCTCCTCTCAAAGAAACTGCTACTCCCATGGTCTTCTTTATCTCTAAGATGGCAATTCCATTCTTTTAGTTGATTAGCCCCCAAACCTTGGAGTTAATTGATTCATCTTTTGTCTCACACTATCAACAAATCCTATTGGCTCTAGCTTTAAGATATGTCCCAAATCAGGTCACTCATCTCCTCCATGGCTACCATCTTAGGTGAACCACCATCATCTCTCATTGGATATTTGTAATAGCTTCCTAACTGGTCTCCCTGCTTTCACCTTTGCTCTGTTATCTGTTTTCCACACAGCAGCTAGTGTAATCTTTCCAATACATAGGCCATATCATGTCATTCCTCTACTCATAATACTGCAATGCTTTTCCAGATTGCTCAGATAAAAGCCAATGCCCTATGCATGACCTACAAAGCCTTAAATGATCTGGCTCCCTGTTACTTCTATCCCAAGTTACTCTCTGACCTCCTCTTCCATCACGTTTCCTCCTTCTGTTTTAGTCACACTGCTTTCCTGAGTTCACCAGATAGGCTTTTGCCTCAGGACATTTGCACTTGCCATTCCCATGCTCAAAATGTCCTTTGTCCAGATACCCACGTGGCTCATGGCCTCACTCCCTTCAGGTGTTTATTCAAAAGTTTTAGTGAAGACTTTTGCAGATACTTTCTCTAAAATTTCATTCTCCTATGCATACTTTCTATTTCCTTCTCTGCTTTTTCTCCTTAGCACTACTTATCACTATCTAATGTACCTCACATTTTATACCATCTTGTTTTTCATCTGACTCTCCCACCAGAATTTAAGTTCTGTGGAAGCAGGACGTTTCAGTTGTCTGTGTTGTTCGTTTTGCTCTCTGTTGCGTCTCCAGTGCTTAAAAACGTGCTGGACTCCCAGCAGGTGGTTAAGAAATGTTTGCTGAATGACTAATTGAAGTTAAAGAGGAATCAGCCAATACTGCCTCTTTTTACAAGGCATTATAACCTACTGTTTAAGAGCATGGGCTCAAAATCCTGCTGTGTAACATTAGGTAGGTTATTTAATCTGTTTTCCCCTGTGCAAAATGGGGTAATAAAATTTCCTACTGCATAGGGTTACTGGGAACATAGAGAAAACAGATATAGAGAAATAACTGTAGAGGTGAAATATTTAGACTAAGTGCACGTTAAGTTTTTTTTTTTTTTCTTTTTTAGCGACAGGGTCTTACTCTGCCACCCAGACTGGAGTGCAGTGTTGTGATCTTGGCTCACTGTGGTCTTAAACTCTGGGGCTCAAGTGATCCTCCCACTTTAGCCTCCTGAGTAGTTGGGACTTTAGGCATGGGTCACCACACCTGGCTAATTTTTAAATTTTTGGTGGAGATGGGGTCTTACTATGTTGCCCAGACTGGTCTCAAACTGGTCCCATGAGCAATCCTCCTGCTTCAGCCTCCCAGAGTGCTGGGATTAAAGTTGTAAGCCACTGCAGCCAGACACGGAGTCTTAATTTTCATTATTATTGTTGTCCTCGGCTAATGTTATGTCATCTTCCCGTCTGTTCATTACACCATCCTTATAAGTTATTTATACAATATAAACCTATTTATAGGAATTCCAGCTCTGCTGCTCATTAGCTGCGTGATATAAGGCAATGTACCTAATCTTTCTGAACCTCAGTTGTCTGATCTTTAGATTAGAGATAACAGTACTTACTTTGCAGAGTCATGGTGAGGATTAAATGATATTTAAAAGCAGTTAACAACTTGCCCTGACTCATAGTAAATGCTCGATAAGTAAAAGCTCTTAGCTGTGTTGTGAGGGTGCAGGATATGGAGGAGGCATTCTGGCAGGGCAAGCGGGAGCCAGGCTGTGGAGCTGGTTGGACTGCTTGTGTTCAAGTTCTTCTAAAATTGAAACTCATAAACAAGCAGCCTGTGCAATCACAGTCTTTAATTCAGTTCTTCTTTACCTAAAGATTGCTCAGGAATTTTTTTTTAGTAGAGATTGTAATTTTTAGAGTTTCTTGAGATGTGTTTCTTTTTATAGTTGCATCTTCCATAGGCTCTTTTCTCTGATTTTAAAATATTCTATCTAGAGTCTAAGAGAACACACATGTATCTATTCTCTCTTTCTTTGTTTTTGTTCAACTTGAAGCTAACACTATCTCTTCCAAGGTTTTAGTAGCTTCCATATCACCAGTTCTTCCTTGTTGATTGAAATCACACACAGAGTAGCAAATTCACTTGTTTCCCCTCTACCCTTTGAGCATCCAGCAAGGAGATGGACATTATTTTTATGTTACAGAGCAACTACATGAAGTTGTCTAAACTGGCCTGTTTTAACCTAATATTCCCTCAAGCCAGACCTAACCAGCTTTTGTACAAGCCTGAGAATACCTAACAAGCTGATTATTCAATACCACCCACTTCACCGCATACATTCTTAGGTATTGTTGCACAAACTCATCTTCTGTCCCGATTTCAGAAGGAACTCCATGAATGGAAGAATCCCTGAGGGGACAGAAGTGAAGGTTAAATCCTACACTAAATACATGAGCTCATCTTTTTAGAATCCTGCAGAGCCGAGAGTGGAATTATGCCAACATTTCACATTGACCAGGCAAACTGTCAGCATTGTCTATTTCCTTTTTATTTTATACAGCGTAAATATCTTTAAAATAACCTACTAAAAAACTGCAGAGTGAGAAAGACCACCCTCTTCCTAGTCATGATTCAAATTTTAAGTGGGTGTACAAAATGAAGTAAAATGATTAGACACAGAGAACACATTTTAAATATAATTTTAAAATAATTTTTCCTGTAAGTAAAAGTGTTGAGTTTGGGTGGCAACAGAATTCTTGGAGCTAAGGGACTTTCCAATTGTGGAATATGACATATTTTGTTATGAGCCATAGTATGGTACAGTTTTGGAAGGAAGTGAACATGATTGCTAATTAGCTTGAATTTATTTAATGCATGAAATAAATCCTCTTCGGTATTTTGATTACATATGGCGGTGTCCTACCTCCTGCAGAAATGAAATAAATACTAATTGAACTGACAGTTTTTCTTCTAATGAAGTAAGAGCTTGTTAACTTCTCCCCCTCAAATCTGTCATCTTCTCTTTATGTAATTCTTAAGTATCCATTCTGATTCCGTGTCTCCCACATTCATCCAGCCCTTGAAAGCAAGCTTAAAAAAAGAAATGGAATTTTTCAAAGTTGTTTTGCATTCTCATTTATGTTTTTAAAGAATGTCATCAACGAATTTCTCCGGAAACACCATTAGCTGTGCCTCCGTTGGGCGGGTCATGCCATGGGAAGAGCTCAAACTTCTGAAATCAGGATACATTTTTCTCTTTTCTATTTTTTCCCCTTTTCTTTTTATTGAATGCATTTTTTTTACATACAGAAAAATACTTACCCTAGGTGTACACTCAATGCATAATCATGAAAATCATGTACATTAGGGATTTGCCCAAGGTCACAAAGCTTGTGACAAACAGGGACTCCAGCTTCCTTATTCTTCATCCACTACTTTTTTATGCCCCATTCTACTCAAAACCCCTTTAAACTGTGTGTCTCATCCATGAAGTTATTCTTTAGAACTGAACACAGTGGTCTAACAAAAGATACTGGGCAGAAAGTGAGGCTCACCATGACCTTAGTGGGCTCCTAAAAATGTTTGCCTTCCCTTGAGATTTACGGAATCTTTACCCCTGTGCTGTCTTACAAAATCCATACCAGGATATATTTTTTCTGAGATGTCGAGAATATCAACAGTACTGGTAGGTAACTCACTGCTCAGTCAAGTGGCGTGATAGACAGGGGATGCTTTTTTAGTTCTAGTTTTCTGGCCCAGTAGGGGAATGGCCTTTCTCCCTCTTATTTTCAAGCTCAAGAGTCAACTGCAGCCCCAGAGCCCATCTAGACTTCTCCTTGTATGCATTCCCAAAGTACTCTTGCATTCCTGTGTCATTTTAACCCTTGAATATGCCTTGCACTGCTCTATAACAGCTTACTGTCTCATCTCCCCAACCAGATTGTCTCATCTCACTATGCGAGAAAAGAGTAAGTCTTAAATGCCATCTCAGGAAATGGACACTTCAGAGAGCATTTCTCAATGTGTGGTCCTCAACATCCTACATCAGAAACATCTGGGACAGCTCAACGAAAATGCAGATTCTTAGCCCCTACCCATGTTGCTTATAATCCAGTATTGGCTGTGGTGAAAACCATGAATAGAGTTTAATAGTGTCCACAGGTGACTCCTATGCACACTAAACTTTGAGAAACACAGGCTTATAGGCATGAGGCAGATACTTGATGATTGGCCTGAACAACCTCCCACTGTTTCCCCATGAATACCTTCAGCAGAGTATCTCAAGGCTCACACAGGCCAGCATGGCTAGGCCTAAGAGTAGAATTCATACATATGTTCACTTAACATACATTAATTATGAGTTTACTCTGCTCGATGTAGGTATATCATGGGCCATAATGGTTTGGCAGTATCCCCACCCAAATCTCATCTTGAATAGTTCCCCATAATCGCCACATGTCATGGAAGGGAACTAGTGAGAGGTAATTTAATCATGGGGGCAGTTACCCTCATGCTGTTCTTAGGACAGTGAGTTCTCATGAGATCTGATGGTTTTATAAGGGTCTTTTCTCCCTTTTGCTTGGCACTTCCTCTTGCTGCTGCCATGTGAAGAAGGACTTGTTTGCTTCCCCTTCTGCTATAATTGTAAGTTTCCTGAGGCCTCCCCAGCCATGCTGAACTGTGAGCCAATTAAACCTCTTTCCTTTATAAATTACCAGTCTTGGGTATATCTTTAGCAGCATGAGAATGGACTAATATAATGGGGAACTAGATATATAGACACAGTTCCCTTGTGGATCATACAGTCTAATTTTATAATGTAAGGAACCTGGAAATAGTTCCTTTCTCCATCAGCATCTTGCCTTTATTTTCCTTTTTTTATTTCTCAGATATTTTGTGAATACCTTCCATTAGCCAGATTCTTTTCTATGATGAACAAGACAGATAAGGGCCCCTTTCCTCTCGTAGGGTTTACCCTTCAGTGAGGAGAAAAGGAAAATAAACAAGTAAACCCAAAGCCCCAAGTTAATTACAGACTGTGACAATTGCACTGAAGTGAATAAACAAAGTAATGTGTGGAGAGACTGACTTCAAAGGGTGAAGGCTAGGCAAAGTTACTCATGAGGTGCCATCTGATGAGAAGTGATGGATGGAGGCCTTTGGGTCATGACTGGAACTGGGGTAGATTAGTGAGTCATCTGAGGCACACATGCCTTGGTGGAATACTACCTCTACTACTAACACCACGAGCTATTGTTTATTGAGCATTTCCTGTGTACTGGACTGTGTGTTAAACATTTTGCATACTTTATTGTATTCGATCTTTGCAGGAAACCTAGGAGATGGATGTTATTACTTCTACTTTCAGATGAGGAAACTGAGGAAGCTCAGGTCAGGTGATTTGTTCAGGGACACACAGTAAGTGGAAGAGTGGGCAATTAAATTTGGCTCTGTGTGGTGGCAAAACCTGCACTCTTTGGCACCACAAGATTTCCACCTTTGGTGATACAAGGCTGTGCTACTGACTGCAGACGAAGCATGACAAAATGCAAAGTGCACAGCCTTGCTGTGATAAGGATGGTTAATATTAAAAAGAGTAATAGTAATGATTTAGCCCTATCGAGCACCTACTCTATTCAAGGTTCATGCAAAGCACCTTGACATTCATTAGTTCATATAATCTTCAAAATAATCCTATGAAATACAGATGGGGAAAGTGGGGTTTAAAAAGGTTAAGCAACTGGGCCATGGCCACTCAACTGGTAAGTGGTAGGACCAGATTCACACCATGAGGTCTGGTTCCAAATCTTTGACTCCTTGCCCTTCTGCATCCCTAATAAAAGGAGTTAATGCGTGTGCAATGGTCTTAGACACAGACAAAGTAAAGCTTGAAAGAACTCATCTCCCTCATTCCCGCTCTTTTTTTTCCCCCTGGCCTGGTTCCTGATTTGTGTGACCTTGTCTTCTTGACTTGTGAGATACTTGCTACAGAATTGCTGTGCTCTCTTTCCCCATCCTGATTTATGAGGGTTGACAGTTATTGGCAAGTACCTGGGTATGTCACAGGATAATTTGCCACTTTTTTCTATCTTTAGAATGCTGTCAACCCAGCATTAAATCACCTTCAATCATTAATAAGCTGATACGGGTTATCTGTCATCATCTTTCCATAGATGGGGGTGGGGGCGGGGTGGGTTGCAGCAAGCAGGACACAGAGCAGCTAAACTGGGATGCTAAGGAGGATGTCTGGCCAGGTTCAGAGCCTGTGGCAGGCTCGGGAGCAAAGCCTTAGCAAGGACTCTGAAAAACCAGGGTGGAAATGAAGGTGGAGACTCCCAGGGATTGTGATCCCTCCAGGAAGGAAAGAGGCTCCTTGAAATGGAGGAAGGATAGAGAACCAAAGCAAACTTCACAGTTTTGCCCAGTGCAGCCTTTTCATGTTCACGTTCATGCTGAATCCACGCTGGTGCCACAGTGGTACCAGTCTATATTTTTGTATTGCTCTGTTTCTATCAGAGCAATGATGGCATCAGATGGCAGTGAATACCGGGGTTTACACCTCCATGTTGCTCTTCAACTGTGGCTGAAATCTGAGCCTTACCCTGTTTTTGGCAGATCTACTTTTGGAATGTTTGACCCGTTCTGCTTGGGCTAGTCGGCTTGGATTGGATGATATGTCAGGGGAAGACCTGGCAGCATTCCCTTCACTCTCTGGATTGATTTGGGTTGGGATTAGTGAGATATGGCCTCATTCTCTGTGATTTGGGGTTGAGCTGCACTGGGTTTGGGAGAAAAACGAGGGTTCATTCTCAATCTGCCAACCTAGATTTCCAGGTCTAGACCACCATGATCTCAATACCTGCCATGTAGTTGCGCTGTTTGAAATTCCTTTTATTTTTAAAAACTTAAATCTGAAAAAATGGTGGGAGGTTGTATATTCAAAGAGTGGCTTTATGCCTCACCTTCATCTTGGATTTTTGTGTGAAAAAGTATTTTGGCATCAGTGTTCCATGTTCTTTTCAGGCTAGCTATATGTAATAACCAGGTATCCATGCTAGACACATGAAAACTGTTAATTGTTTCACTGTTGAAAAAGGATTAGAACTGGGCTTGTGAAATGTTTTACAGAATAGCTTTATGTGGAAGAAGTTCTCAGTAAAAGCTAGAACAGTATCAGCATCATCTCTAATGTTTGAAGGTTGATCAGCGCAGTAAGCCAGAAGTCAGTGGATCTGGGTTCTGCTTTTTGCTTTGGCCCTAACTAGCTGTGTGACAGTGCCAGATCTCCTGGCTCTTTATGTCTTATTTCCTCAAAGTAAGGTTGGAGGGTGGAGGGTGGAAGACAGGAGGCTGCAGTAGCTGAGTCCTATGCACCCTTCTAACCATGATTACTTTTTAATGAAAGTGAATCTAGACTTCTACAAACTGTCTTTTTGAGTCACTGTCAGAGGCAGCAACTTGACTTTGAACGCTCTTGTGTTTTCACATTCTAACAGATAGTGTCTATCTGTATTTTAAAATCATGGTGGCAATCTTTGCCATGAATTTGGGGTTCAGCATTCTATTTCAGGCTCTGATAGTTGTGTGATAACGGGGTAAAAAGATTTCCACTGAGTCTTTTAAATTGTAGGACATCTTCTCTTTGGGTTTTCAAATTGTAACTTTGAACATAATCTTTTCTCATTAGCAGAGGCTTTGTTGAAGCTTTAGACACAGATATCAAAAATCAGTCAGCTTTATGGACTTTTAAAAAAAAATCTTTTTGGCAAGCTTCAATGTGTTGGAACAACCATGATACATAAAGGGACTACTTTGCCTGTTAACAGAAGTGCTAAAGACCAGGCTAACAGGTTTGCTGCTGTGCTAATACAGAATAATCTCTGATAACTATAATTAACTTGTACGCTTCTGTCTTAGGTTGACTCACCAGAACACTCACACCCTTCAAGATTGATATTCATTCCTCTTTGAGATACGAGCAGATGCTTCCAACAACTGTCTACAGCCACGATGCCGTAGCCTTGGTTTGTACGCATTTATCCCTGGCAGGCGCGCTATCTATTTTAGGAAGGTATTTTGACACTTTACCTCTTGGCTACAGTGTCTCCAAAAATGCACTCAGTGAACGGAACAGTCTCTCTCCTTGCAGGCGTGCAGGCGACAGTCAGCCCCAGCATGTTCTGTGGCAGAGTCAGCTGGCTCAAGACCAAAGCAGCTAATCAGCGTTGGGTCTGTTCTGGGGCTCAAGGAAGATGCCCTGCCATTCACTGACAGCTTTTCCCTGGGCTTTCTCTCCTTGCAGGCATTCTTATTCTGTGAAAGGGCTACACAGCTATGCTTGGGGATTCTAATCAAGGTGTCTTTGGATAAGGATGATCGTCTTGTGGGGCTTCAAGTTTGGACTCTTCTGACTACCCTCTAGTTTTTTCTGGTAATCCTGTAAACTGCCTGGCTTTTCAGGCAAAGCTGTTCTTCCTCTGCGTGGGTTTACGAGAGAGTTAGGGAGACTATCTGCTGCTTCCTTTTGGGGCAAAGGTGGGAATCATGATGATGAAGCATTTAGCAAATGAGGCAAATAACAAATGCCTCTTTGACATGCAAATAAATGTTCATAGAAATAAAAATTAAGGGATTTATATTGAAACATGGTCATAGTTTATTTTCTAGATCTGGGCAAGATAAATTATATCAGAAAAGAAAAATCTAACCCAATGAGAATACTTAGTGAAGTTTTACTAGGAAGTAGTAGTGAGGAGGTATTTCAATGGGGCTTCTTAATGGAGTGGGCTTCAGGAATGATGTGATGGTGATATTTTCTGAACAATTTTTGGTTTGCTAGAAATCCATGTTCTCCATATTCTCAAACCCTAACCTCATAGCACATAAACCACATTGTCAAGAGGACCTGCTGGTTGGTGCTAATGACATTTACCAAAAACACAAACTGCCTTTAGAGGAAAAAGAAGTCTATTCTTACTGCTGTTTATAGTAAATATTTAAAAAATTACAGAGTAGCAGCTGTCAAGTTTTCTGGCATGAAACATAGTTTTATTTGTTTTCAGACATCTTGGGAAAGTCTTAACTTGTTCTTTATTACATTTTCCTTAATTTTTTTTCTTAGGCTTACGCGTCCCCTCTAATGGATTTTTGTAAGTCAGTAATTAGAAGGGGTAAGGATTCATACATTTCTTTAACATTATCCTGCGAGAAGGAACATCTCATTACATTATGTGTCCTGAATAAGAAAAGCTATACAAATTGTTGAGAATAATATCTATGTGAGCAATCACATTGGCAACAAACAAACAAAAAAACCAGAAACAACTATTAGATCGGGTATGTATTCTTTTGGAGTTATCAAATATAGCTGATGAGATTTGCTGTGAATCTTCATTGGTGCCAGCAAGACTGGAGGAGAAAACACAGTTTTCCCAGATCTGGAAAATTTGGGTAATATCTCCCAAACAACCGCATAAAGGCTTCCATGCATTGACAGCTCCAAGATTCTAAGAGAGATAATCTGTTCCAAGATTTAGAAAACAGTGGTTGAAAATCAGGACATTTCCTGAGGATAAATGACCAGCTGGAAGGAATTAATTCACAGCATTAAGTTCAACCAAGTGCCATTAACCCGCCTGTTCCTTGGTATTGCTCTAGACTGGTCGTCATTTCTTCAGGACACATGTGCTGCTTTCCATCCAGGTGAACTGGAGACAGCAGAACAATTGTTCCTGGATAAGATGTCCCATAATACTATTCTTGTGAGTTTGAAAGTTTCCTTAAATGGCAAGTGCCATTAGCAGGGAAGTTTAATGCTGTTACTGGCAACTGAGGCTGGAAGGGTGGATCTAGCAGGCAGCAGAGCAGAGAACTGGCATGGTGCCTCTAGTCTGTTGGTTGTGCCAACAATCTCCAAACTCTATGCCACGTGCCTAGGGGTGTTCAACAAACCCATAATCTTGCAAATCTCAGCACTGGAACCTATCACTGGGCAACTTTTTAAAGTTATATCAAATAAGTTTGAGAGGAGGTAAAAGGAGTGATTGAATTAAATTAGAGGAAAAGAGAAATAACTGCCTGGGAGTATTCATAAAACTATTGTTATTACTTTTTAGGCCTTTGCAATTATACTTCAAAGTCAGGGAGCATCTTCAAAATTTCTCTATTTTCTTTTAGTCATTAATGATATCCTCTATTTGTTATTCTTTTACAGTACAGCATTTTTCAAAGTGAATGAATAGGAATTTTTATGAAGCAGATAAGCAGAGCAGTAAAGCAAAGAAGTCGGTGCAATTTCTAGATAGGAGAGTCTCTTGCTACTTTAATTACAATATTTGCAGTTAAATTGTTTTGATTATTAGTCTACTGCAATATACAGTATAATTTACATTTTGCTTCATTTTGAGAGCTTAAACAAAGCATGTTTTAAATGATAGCAAAAATCACATTTGAACATTTTTACCTTTAGAAATTCACATTTTAGTTTTCTACTGATTAAATGGGTTCTCAAAAAAACAGTGTATCTGAGTATAAAAGGGAGTATCTGGAATACAATTACTTAAAATATTCCACTTTGCATTTATAATACATTTCAGAATGTGGAATGAATATTTTACGCAGAATCCATTTTTGACTTGAAGATGGTTTTATATTTAAAAGTCTCTACTCAAATGTGTTCTCAAAAAGAATTCATTCAGCTATCCCTTGTTTTCATGTTGAAGCTATTGAGAGTATTCAATGATATTCTAAGAGTAATTTTTTTTCCGGTCGTAGAAAAAAATTATTGGGGCTTTTATGTTAATGCGGTATATTTAGCTGACCTTTGATTCTCTGCATGGTCAAGTAAACAGCAACATTTTTAGGTTTTTATCAGAAAACGAAAGCATGCCACTTCTCTGCAGACTCTAAGGTATGACATTCAGATTGAAATACCATTTATTGAATTCCAAGATTATGCTACTAACTCTCCTTACATTGTCTTTGTTTTCACAGAAAATAGGTGAATGTGTGAGTAACACAGATAAAGACAGAAATGGCTTGATAATGTTTTAGGTGACATCTGTCTCCTCGTGTGGCCCATCCTGGGCCCTGCTCTTTAGTCCCATCTCCTTGTGCTCTGCAGCTGGGGATCCCGCTCTCTGAGTTCATTCTCTCCATGCTCTGTTGGTGGGAAGGTTTGTGATCCCTGCCCAGGGTAACTGAGCCGAAACCTGTCCTCTGTTGAGCAAAAGACTGAAAGCTCTAACATTTTCTGTGAACACCACAAGAAGCCTCCTGCCAACACCTGACTGTAGCAGCCAAAAGGCGTTGCTGTTTAGCCATATCATATTCTATATAGCATGAGCTACAAATATACACAAACAAGTTTAACTTATAAATTCACAGAAAGCTGGGTCCAGAAGAAGGCTTTGAGCTCATTTAGTGCAGTGAGTTTCAGACTTTCCCCATGGTATGGGGGTTGGGGAAGGGGACAGGAAGGAAGGCTCAGCCCCTCTCAACAAGAACAGGTCAGCGTTTGTTTTATATATTGTGGTTCTGAGTAGGATTTCTTTAGGGAAAAAGCATTCTGCCATTGTTTGCCACTAAAATATTTGAGAACCTCTGGTCCTCTCTTTTTACAGATGAGGAAATAGAACCCCAGACAGATGTTGTGTCTTTATTCAATGTTGCTTGCAAATACAGAGATTTTCCCAAGGCTTAAATTTCTGGCTTAGTATGTAATAAATGTGTTACCCTTTTCTCGAAACTTCTTGGCTGGAAAGACATGAGCAGAGAATCTGTGTGGCCTGTCTCTGTGCCGTGGTTTCACTCTTGCAAGCATACCACCTCAGCGTGTGTCAACGTGTGTGTGTGTTACACTCATGCTTGCTTGCATGAGGCTGTGTGAGCCCACAAAGGCAACAAGCCTGTAGAATTTGGGGATCAAGTGGACCACCTCAGTAGCTGAGGGGCCAGTGCTCGGAATACTTCCCTGAGTTTTCCATGATATGGCAGCTGCTTCTTGCTGTAGGAAGCAGATCATAAATACAATCTCAAACTCCTTGGCTCCTATCACCACCAACATGGTTCTGAAACTGGTGTTGATTGGAGAACTGTGGATGGCTTGGGAGCAGCCACTAGTTTAATGAGAGTATTCTGTCCTGAGTGTTGTATGCAAGCATGTCAGATAGGGGGAAAGGGCAACAAGACACTACCACTACTTTGCTGCCAGTGCAGCCAAGGATCCCATACCCATGGCTGCAATCTGATCAGAAATTGCTGATTTCCAACTTTGTTTCTGAAGATCATAAAATGGGCATCTAATTTCCCTCTTGTGTACTGCAGTCTGTTCAGTTTGGTCCAGCAAACATTTCTGCAAGCCTCCTGTGTGCCAGGCACAGGCTATAAACCACATGTGAAGAGAACACTCCTCTGAGTTAACATAGGCCGTGATGTTCATATTTCTTCCTAAAAGATTATTTTAAAACAGTTTTTACATTGTTGGTGGGAATGCAAAATGGTGCAGCTGCTATGGAAAACAGTATGGAGGTTCCTAATAAAATTAAAGATAAAACTACCATATAATTCAGCAGTCCCATTTTGGGGTGTTTATTCAAAAGAATCGAAAGCAGCATCTTGAAGAGAGATTAGCACTTCTATGTTCATTGCTGTACTATTCACAGTAATGATAATGTGTTCATCAACAAATAAATGCGTAAAGAAATGTGGCCTATGCATACAATGGAACACTATCCAGCCTTAAAGAAGAAAATTCTTTAATAGTGGACATCATGAATGAGCTGTGAGGACATTATGCTGAGTGAAATAAGCCAACAGAAGGACAAATAGTGCATGATGATTCCACTTATAGGAGGCATCTAATCATAGTCAAAGTTTTAAAGTGAGGAGCTGGGGAAGCCCATCTAAGGGGCTAGCCATTTCTGGTCAGTTGTTAGCATGTAAAATCGTGGTGTTATTGTTGCCATATCTTCTGATTCAAATCAAGAAATCCAGATTTTAAAAAATGTTTCATATCTCATTTTGTAAATGTTGGCAATGAAGTAAAAAAAAAAAAATTGCAGAGCCCACATCTGTGAGCTGCATCTAGTTCACAGAAAGCCCGGTTTTCCACCAATGCTTTACAGTAACCTTTGAAAGTGACTGCAGCATTTGTGGTTGATTGTCCTGCTATGTGAAACATATTGTCTCTGAGTCCATGATGCTGGAAGGATTGAGCTGCACATATGGTTTTGTAGACATATTATGAGCAGCCAGTGAATATTAATCATTAGCAGCAGTTTTATCACCACCATTATGCAAGTTTGGGAAAGGTACCACAGAGCAGTTAGTAGCAAACCTGCAACAGTAATCATGGGACTACTTTGGAAAGTGATGATCTAGAATTAAATTTCACTCACACGCTTAAAAGCAATTATAAGTAGTAAGAGAGATATATGATTATACCATGGTCAAAAGTCCAGGATATTTTAAAATAGTTTTTAAGTTCCTATAGATTGAAGAATCAAGGAACTTGCACTCCATGAAGCCCTAGTACAGTTTGATTATAAAAATATATATTTTGGCTACTCAGTTTTATAGAAAGAGTAATGTTTATTTGCTCAATTGGTTACGGCTGCTGCAGCTATTGCTTCTCTATTATACACAATCATAAGCACTTGCTTTCTAGGTTTTATAATTGTATAATAGAGACAAAGTTTAACAGGCTATTTCCTGAAAATAAAAAAAAATATTTTTATGAAAATGAATTGAGATGATACTTTAACAAATACCCTTAAGATTAAAATTCACAACTTCAAAGCTGCCTTTATGCAAAGTCGAATCAGTATTTAGAGCCAGGAGAAATCTTAGAGATCATCTAATTTAGTCTTTCTGATGGGTAAATCAAAGCACAGAGAGGTTAAGTGATCAATCCAGTGCCACACAGCTATACAGCACTAGAATTCAAGCCTCTAGCATTGAGTGTACAAACTCATGACATTTACAGATTTAACACTATGGTCTCAATTACATGCCAATGATCTAAAATCCATGAACGGTAGTACTTATAATTTTTCTGAAACAGGGATTTGAATGCACGTATAGCGATGCTGATACACTGAGATGAGTCACTTCCCTGGTGAATGAACCCAGCTGACCACTTGGTATTTAGTCTCAACCCAGCTGTCTTGTTTTCTGCTCCAAAGAGGTCATTTAAATTGTTTGATTATATTTTATTGCCTGGCTTATGTAGCAGGCTCGCAATAAAATGTTTCTTAAAGCAATGAATAAAAGACTGCATTTTATAAAGAGTTATTTGCTGCAGAGGCATTTGAAAATATGAGCATTCAAAATTTCTCATGATGTCAGTCTTCATGAATGTTAACGGTCAGCTGTAGTTTCTATTAATAGAAAGGTCCTCGGGTACAGAGGTAGAGTCCCCAGTGGTTTCTCCAAAGGGAATTTGAGCCAGACCCATTATTTTGTGGGGCTAAAAGGTAAGACTAAAACAGAGACTTAAAATTGTTGAATCAAATTCTTTCAGTTCTAAAACTAGTCCCTGAGATTAGGTTAGGGACTTTTGAAAACTCCAGCCCTTTCCAGTCTTCTGTGTCCTGTTCAATAAATTATTGCTTTAGGGATAAAAAATTTCATGCCTAGATGCTGTATGGTGTAATATGATCAGGATTCCCCTTCTAAATGTATGTATTTGACTTGGGCAAGGCACGTAGCCTCTCTAATTATTGGTTTCCTCATCGGTAAAATTGACAATGATGCCTGCTGCTAGAAAGGTTCTTGGAAGTTCACAGGAGCCCCCTGGGAAGTCTGGGTTGGGCACTCTCCAGGGTTCCTTCCCATCAGCCTCTCCTTCCTTCACGCACAACATTGCAGTTGTCTCTTGTTTGTGTGTGACATTTCACATCAAGCTGTTAGCTCTGGGAGGGGTGGGAGAATGTCTTGCTCTCTTTTCTGTGCAGCTCCGTAAATATTTATTGAATGAATAAAATGCACAATGCGAATGTAAGCAACTGTTGTAATTTCATCTAGGAAGTCTGCTTCCTAATTTGATGGTATTAGTACTTCCTCGACTCTGGGCATGCTCTGACTTCCTGTATTTAGTTTTCTGACCCCCCAAAAAGGCAGATGGAGAATCCTTACAACCCACATAGAGGGGATTTTGGCACATGATTTCACTGTGCCAAAATGTTTATTGGATTGGCATTTTCTGAGCAGGGATTGGGGTTAGCCTACCGTTGACGAAATCTGTTCTTTTTTGTACTTTTCTAATGGAATACTCCAATCCAGTCTCTCACTCAGGGTTAAATAACAAACCTATAGAATAAACATTAAATAATATAGCCATGGGAAGGGCCAGCACAATCTATGGCTCATAGTGAGTTTCACGAATGCTGGTTTTACTGCCCCCCTTGCAAACCTTCCAAACCCAGTTTAGTATTTCTGCTACTGATGATTTTCCTATCTGACTTTGCTGAAGATATTTATGACTCGAGCAGGCTTCTCTCCATAGTAGTCATAAATGAGATTCACCTTGGCCTCACCTTTCTAAATTTTGTGTTGGCTTTAGTCCACCCAATGGTGGATTGAAAGCCAAAGGTGACTCAGGGCAATGTTGGATCTAAAGATTGATTTTTGCAAGTTCCCTGGACGGGGTCCTCACAGTGGGTGGGGCTGACAGCCTTTTGTATGTGTCTCCCTTTCCTGATAGAGTGTGGGAATGTGTTATCTGGCTCCTGGCAAAGCCCGCTTGCTTGTCTCTCTTGCCACGTGATAGCCTCTTCCTGGGCTCCACAAAGACCACACACTCCCTTCCTGCTCAAAAACTTGCCCCTGTTAGCCAAACCAATGTACTCAGCTCAATGGAGAAAGTAGGGGAGGTTGTCTCGTGTGTGTGTGTGTGTGTGTGTGTGTGTGTGTGTGTGTGTGTGTGTACACAGTATACATCAACGAGAGGGCTGTCATTGGATTTTGTATTGGGTCCCATTTTAACTTGTTGCATTATGTCACTGCCCCTACACTGTAACAAGGATCATTGTTTTGAAGACTGGCTTCTCAGGGCTTTTGTTAAGCTAAAAATAATAAAGATTATAAGAAATTATTGAAGTAGAATTGGGAAAGTCCACGACTCTGAGACTGCTTTTAATGCAATAAAGCATTCACTTGCTATAATATTTTATTGTTTTGTTCTCCCCAAAGCACAATTTACAATGGTTTTGTTAAAGGGTTTCAAGTCATTTTGGTAAGTGATCTTTTGTTTTTGTGTCTTGTAATTACCCAGATCAGTTTTTCCTTGACTTCAACTCATCTTAAAAATTTTCAAAGGCTGTGCCAGGATGGCTTAGTGGGCACCAGGTTTCTTGCTAAAAAGCCAGAAAACCACTATATATTTGTTCTGGGGAATTGTAAAACATTAAAAGGTGTAAGGGAGTGTTCTTCTGGGGCCCTAAACCAGTTGCATGCTCTCTCCTAAGCCTAAACCCAAGGCTATCTTTGGCACTGGAATGAAAAAGCATCATGCCAGAGAAAATTATGCTGAAGTCTTTCTTGGGGACTTGACAC
This sequence comes from Homo sapiens, assembly GCF_000001405.40. NCBI lineage: Eukaryota > Metazoa > Chordata > Mammalia > Primates > Hominidae > Homo > Homo sapiens. The sequence continues at coordinate 42,744,612 of NC_000012.12, forward strand.
AACCAGGCTGACACTTCATGAGGAAAGCCTTGTGATTCTGGAGACTTTGCCTGGGGCTGTTTACACAGCCTTCTTTTAAAGACACAGGCCCTTCTAGGGGAAATGCTCAGTGTCCTTGGAACTCCTCAAACCTTTTCACTGTAAGCAAGTTGCAGGCTTTCTTATGGGCATGGAGTCAAGTAAATACACACTTTAAAATGAATTTCTGATGTCCACTCATGAATGTTTCATGTCTGCAAGACATAACATTTTTTTGGAGAGCAGAGGTCTGGTGTAACCACATTTTCGAGGTTGCTTCATTGTTGTAAAACTTGATCTGCAATCCTGTGACACGTGTCCCCAGGGGGAAAAAAACAATGAACACCCATTGTTCCATCAATCATGGATAATCAAGTCCAGTTGCACAACGAGTGCATTGTGCAGAAGAGGAAGCAGTAGCCTAGACAGTGTACCTGTCTTGCTTAGGATCCCCCAGAGCTTTGATCTCTCCCCTCTATTGTCTTCTCTAGCTGTTCCCCACCTCCTGCAAGCCCAGCCCTGTCTTCGTCTCTAGGACTAAACCGCACCTTAGAGACATTAAGGAGCTCCACCCCAGACCCTGAGGCTCAGAGTCAAGTCACTGTTTCTGCTGGGTTGGCTTTGAGTCTGCCTTAGACTTTGCACCCCAGCTATGAAAACTGACCTTCTGAGACTCTGCCCTTGTTTCTCATCCAGTCCCTGTATTTGTGTTCCATCTTGTTCCCATGTGCCTGACTCCTCACCAAGGTCACCCAGGGCCATACTTTCTCCACAAGGGGTCCTTTCCTGATCCTGCTAGTTTCCTTTCTAGTGCCTGGAGCCTTTTACTGGGCACAGGCAGGTGACACAAGCTCTGATTTAAAATAACGATGATAACGATAAAGACAGTAGTTAACATTTATGAAGTGCTTACTATGTGCTGGGCACTGCACTTTGCATATGTCATCCTATTTAATCTTCACAGATATGCTATAAAGTAGATATTACTGATATCTCCACTTTTCATTGGATAAACTGAGGCTCAAAAAAGTTGAATACCTTTCTAATCATGACTGTGCTTTTCAGTAGGGAGCCCCTTGCTGAGATGAGAATGCAGCCTTTACTCTAAGACATTGCACTTTTGTGCTGTGTGAAGACAGAATTTTCTTACGCTCAATGCCTGTCCAGATTGCCAAGTGCCACCCCCTCCTGAGTCCCCTGTAGCTCTGCTCTATCTCCTGTTGCGGCACCTAGACTCCATGTCAGGTCTCTCTGGTGAGGCATCCTGATGCTGATGAAACCACCTTTGCAAAATTATATCAGAGAAATCTGACATGGTTGACTCCATCTCGCTTCTGACTGCTAAGCTATCCTCAGTCATTTCTGGGCACATGCCAAACTAACTTTGGGAGGAATTTAGTTTATAGTTTATCCTTAAAGCAAGGATGATAATAGCCCTTCCCAAAACTAAAATGTCTTCAGAAAACTAATGAGAGGCCACAAGGTTAGGATTATGAGAGGTGTCTGAATTCTGCTAAGATATAGATGTAGTATCTATAATCCTTTACTGCTCAGGAGTCATGAGGCCAGAGGTCACAAGATTTGTGACTTCTCCAATTGCTCCTATGGATAACATCATTGTAGAATCTAAGATTGGTCTTTTGAGACTTTTTTAGACTTTTTGGCAACTGACTGACCCTGCCTGGACATGTAACTCATGACTCAACCGGTCCTGTAGCCTCGCCCAGTGGTGAGGACTCAGTGGACAAGGACTTTCTCCACACTCCTATGACTTCATTCCCTAACCAATCAGCAGCACACATTCCCTAGCCCCCGTCCCACCACATTGTCCATAAAAACTCTAACCTCCAAGCCTTCGGGGAGACTGATTTGTGATTTGAGTGGTAACTCTGTCTTGCGTGTGGCTGGCCTCACATCAGTTAAACTCTTTCTCTGCTGCAATGCCTCAGTCTCAGTGAATTGATTTTGTGCAGCAGTCAGGAAGAACCCGAATGGTGATTATGCTGACAGCCCTACTGGGCCACAACTGTTGTCTATTGCCTGGCACTTTGGATACTGCTCTGCTTCCTGGAATGGACTTCTTCCCGTCACAATCACCTGTCAGGGCCAGTTTCACCTCAGCCCCCTGAGTCTTCCCTGTTCTATTATTGTTGATTTGGCTTTGCCCTTGGTATGATGGTATTTAGCTTGCAAGGGACTGAATTGGGTAGTGGGAAAAGAGATGGAGATTTAGCTTGAAGCCAGCATTCAAATCATACAGAGAAAAAACCCACAATTTTAAATGATATCAATGGCTCCTTTGCATTATAGGAAGGAAAGAAAATTTAGGAAGTAACTCTTAAAGTTCAGGAACACAATTTCTAGAGATCTTTCTAGAATACTCATAGATAACTTCGTAAGTTTTCCATAACTGATTATATTGTAAACATTTTAGATGGTCTGAAAAAAACTTGCTTTTTTTCCATCTAAATATGGTAAAATTATCCCTTATCTCTTACAGTTATAATAAATTTAGTCCAGAATTACTCAAAACTAAACTCTTGGTCCATCATTTAAGCTCGAATCAGATTGTACCTATATGAATGCCTGTGTACGTGTTCCCAGCTGTCTGTTCACGTCTACATATGTTCTCACAACGCTTAAGTTTTATCCCAAATATCTAAATCTCCTGTATCAGTCCCATAGAATTTGGGCCACTTCCGACACCTGATCCCTCTCTTCCCCACAAAGAACCTCAGTGCCTTATATATCTGCACTTTTTAAATGTTTTGCACATAGTTCTATTTACTCGGACATCTGCATCCCATCCTCTTCACCTTGACTTGTCTCTGCAGTTTTTAGTTGGGTGGCTTTTTGTTAGTCACTCTATGCCTCCATGACACTGTCAATAAGGTGGGGAATAATAACCTTACACAGAGTGCTTACAGGAGTGATTGGCCTATAGGAAGTTGTGGGGGGTAAAGAAACTCCATCTTGGATGCTAATCTACCATGTTGACTTCTGATTGACCCCAGATCTGGGAAGGCCTCTAAGATTTCCAGTTTATCTATTGTTCATGTTCTTACTGTAAATCCTGCCCTTAGGTCAAAATGACCTTGATGTTATTGTACTTAATATAAATCCTGCCTTTGAGCATCTGTCCTACACATTCCTCCCCTATCCTATAAGAGCTCTGGGTCTGATGGGTAATGTCCGGGGATGCACCATTTTGTCTAACCACCCCCTAAGACACAGACATAGCTTCTGTTCGTAAGTCCCCATTAAATGTGTGTGTTTTTTTTTTTGTTTTTTGTTTTTTTTTTTCTGAGAAACTGGATATGTGAGTCTCTTTCTTTGGTCTCTCAGTTTCCTCAGACTTTGTGGGTAGGTTTTCATAGTCCCACTCACATTGGAATAGAAGTGCTCAATACTGTCTGGCTAAATGTTCTCTCCATCACAAACAGGTAACTCTTTAAGAACTGTTCCGTCTCTACTATATGGGCAAAGGACCTCAAATTATGGGTACAATGAGACTAATACCATTTTCTGAGCACCTTCTCAGCTTTAGCCTCACTACTAAGCACCTCATATTAATTATTTCACTTAATCCTCACAATGACCACAAAGAGGCAGATGTCATCACCCCTGTTTATGGACAATGAGTTTGGGGGTTCAGAGAGGATAAATAAGTTGCTTCTCAGAGACCATGTCTTGGACCACTTTCTACACCTTGGGCTTGCTTGATGTGGTTGGTGTGGTTCTGCAGTATGTTTTTGGTTTCCATGTAAGATAAAGTTAGTGAAGCAGGAGCATTCTTTGGGGACACTGTAGTCTCCCCCAAACTTTTAACATTTTGGAGAATGTAGGAAGTTTTTGGTAATGTGGTTACAGAAGTATGTATTCCTTGTGGGTACTCCAGAAAAAAAAGGATTGTTAGAGTCCAGAGAAAGACCAGGGAATGATGACCATCATGGGATAATGTTAATAAAAAACCCAGATAATTTTGCAAAAGTAACTTATTTAGTTATGTTCATGGGATGAATAATTGAGGACATTGGAAAAGGGCTGGAGATGCCTTGCAACCCCGTGACCTGAGAGTGAGAAACTGAATGACAGGGTGCCCTGGAAACTGTCTGTGATCCCCTCACTGTGGTGGCCCTGCCAAGACCCTGCAGCATGGGGTAGGGGGACTCCAAATCTTTAAGATTTGGAAAGGGTCTGGATGAAGTGGTCCTCAGGGGCTCTGCTGCGTATCTGATGGAGAAAGTGACAAGGCAGGGAATTGTGGGTTAATTTTACCACTACTTCCAAGGTAAATATTTATGATTAGTACTAAGACTTCTATTGGATAGATGGAAAGAAAAACAGAACATTTGACCCTAAATCCCTAACATCCAACTATTATTATTTCACAATTTCTACTATAGGTTCTAAAGAGAGAAGAGCAGAGGAAACAGTTTGGGTAAAAGTACCCAGTTTATTGGTATGGGGCTTTGGTCTCAAATCCTGGTGTGTGGAATGAGCTGGATTGGGGCATGTGTTAGCTGTGAGCATGCCCTTTGCCTGTCTAGGTTAAGGTGGAAGATTGATAGCTGAAAGATAGAGTCAAGATAGAATGAGAATAAGTCTAACTGGAGTCAGAGCCAAGAAAGCATAGTCCTAAAGACAAACTTGAAAGTGAGGGAATGCTATGCTCATAAATGAGAACAAGCATGAGATTGGCATCATAGAAATCTCTGGCTTCTACTGTTGGACCTTGTTTAGTGCAGAACCACATCAGCTCAATGTTGGCATGCTCTCTGCTCAGGAGGTAGTGAGACCAGGTGGGAGAAACCTTCCACTTTTCCCAGTAGCTGGAATGTGCCTAAAGCACTAATTAGAGCATTCTTAGAGTTCTTGCAGGAAAGTTTGTGTTCTCTGGGGCTCTAGATTTGAGTCGACTATAGTGGTTTTCACAATTTTTCTTATGTAATAAAATACTTCTTTTTGGCATAAAAATTTGTAGAGATCTAATATATAACCTGTTAAAAAGTATTTCTGTTGGTATAAATTTATTTTATTTTGTATTTTATTTTTTGAGATGGAGTCTTGCTCTGTCGCCCAGGCTGGAGTGCAGTGGCGCAATTTCGGCTCACTGCAACCTCTGCCTCCCAGTTTGGGCAATTCTTCCATCTCACCCTCCTGAGTAGCTGAAATTACAGGTGCACACCACCAGGCCCAGCTGATTTTTGTATTTTTAGTAGAGATGGGGTTTCACCATATTGATCAGGCTGATGTCGAATTCCTGACCTCAAGTGATCCTCCTGCCTTGGCCTCCCAAAGTGCTGGGATTACAGGCATGAGCCACCGCACCCTGCCATGAATTTATTTTGTAAATTCTAATGTGTAACACTTGGATGCACACCCTCTTTACAAGATACATAATAATAAGACAGAGGGAGAGAGACAGGGGAGGGGGGCAGATATCCACTTATTCAAAGGGAATCTGTAAACGAGATTTCCAAAATAAGTAAAAAGTTCGGTAACACAGTTAAAAAAGCAAGAATCCAAACATAAGTCTGTCCCATGGAGTAGTCTGAAGAAGACATTAACATAAATATGTTTAGATTTATAGTGAGATAGATTAAAGCATGATTTTGTTTAAAAGAGCAAGAAATTATGAAACAATTCTGGTAAAAATGAAAAACATTGAGGTGGGGAGGGGTGCGGAAAAGAAAAGCTAAGAAAAATGGAGAATAGATTAAAAGACTAGAATATTCTTTAATAGGAATTCCAGAAGAATAAAATAGAGGGAATGCAACGGTGAAGAATCCTTCTTTCTTTCTTTCTCTTTCTTTCTTTCTTTCTTTTTCTTTCTTTCTTTCTTTCTTTTCTTTCTTTCTTTCTTTCTCTTTCTTTTCTCTCTTCTCTTCTCTTTTCTCTTCTTTCTTTTCTTTCCTCCCTTCCTTCCTTCTCTCTTTCTCTCTCTCTCTTTCTTTCTTTCTTTTCTCTCTCCTCTTCTCTTTTCTCTTCTTTCTTTCTTTTCTTTCCTCCCTTCCTTCCTTCTTTCTCTCTTTCTCTCTCTCTCTCTCTCTTTTTCTTTCTTTCTTTTTTTTCTGAGACAGAGTTTTACTCTGTTGCTCAGACTGGAGTGAAGTGGCATGATCTTGGCTCACTGCAACCTCCACCTCCCAGATTCAGATGATTCTCCTGCCTCAGCCTCCTGAGTAGCTGGAATTACAGGCTCCTGCCACTATGCCCAGCTAATTTTTGTATTTTTAGTAGAGACAAGTTTCACCATGTTGGCTAGGCTGATCTTGAACTGCTGGGCTCAAGTGATCCACCTGCCTCAGCCTCCCAAAATGCTGGGATTACAGGTGTGAGCTACCATGCCTGGTCAAGAATCAGCATTCTAAAAGATGATCATAGAGAAATGTACTGAAATTGAGGAAGGACATGAGTCTTTGGATTGAAATTGTGCTCTGAGTACCAATGAGAATGAATAAAAGTAAATTCCTAAGTAGATACATGATGGTGAAACTGCAGAGTATCAGGGATAAGGAATGAATCTTAACAGCTATCAATGAGAGAAGATTCTCACAAAGGAGTAGACATCAGACTAGCAGCAGACTTTACCTCAGCAACAACATATGCCAGAAGGCAAAGGAGCAAGAGCTTCCATTTACTGAGGAGAAACAGTAACTACTATTTGTGTTTAAAACTAAGCTAAACCATTATTATAAAATGAAGCATAGTTAGGTAATTTTGTCAAGGCCACAACATTGGTAAATAGTAGGGCCAGGCTTTGACTTCAGACAGTCTGACTCCAGAACCTGTGCTCTTAACCATTATGCTATTAGGAACAAATAGGGACATATCCATAGTTACAATATGATCATATAAACGAGAAAATATCTATGAACAAGTTTGTGTCAGTAAGTTTGAAAATTTAGGGGAAATTACTATTTTTTTTAAAGAAAAAATAAACTATTAAGGATGTAAAAGGAAGTAGAAAACCTGATTAAATTTTAATTAATATAGATGTTTAATGAAAAGTCAAAGTTTTCTGTTTTAAAAAGTAAACAGGGCTGGGTGCAGTGGCTCACGCCCATAATCCCAGCACTTTGGGAGGTTGAGGCAGGCAGATCACGAGGTCAGGAGTTTGAGACCGGCCTGACCAACATGGTGAAACCCTGTCTCTACTAAAAACACACAAAATTAGACAGGTGTGGTGGTTCATGCTTGTAATCCCAGCTACGCAGGAGGCTGAGGCAGGAGAATCGCTTGAACCCAGGAGTCGGAGGTTGCAGTGAGCTGAGATCATGCCACTGCACTCCAGCCGGGGTGACAGAGTGACACTCCGTCTCAAAAAAAAAAAAGTTAAACAGACCCAGATGATTTTGATGACAATTAAAAAAAATGTTCAAGAACAGATAATTTTATGTTTTATAAATAATTTCAGGGAGTAAAAAAGAGAAAACTTACTTTGCTCATGTTTTGGCACAGTAGAATTTTGCCAGAACAAGAGCAACATAGAAACTAACATTTTAGATCACTTATTTATGCACAAATGTTCACATTAAAAAAGTAACACCCCAAATAAGCTGATTCCAGCAGTAAAAATTAAACCAAGGCCATGGTCAGGAATATGAAGATCCTTTATTATATCTAAAAATCTATTATAAAGTACATAAGCTATAGATTAACAAAATCAGATTGATCTTCAAAAGATGCAGACAAAGCATTTGATGAAATTCAATAGCAATTCTTGATTACAAATATTATAAAATGGGGATGGAGAATATTTCCCAAATAAAATGTATCTATCATATATCTTCAGTAATTACCATACTTAACAGTGAGACTTTAGAAACATGTCCATTAAAGTCAGGAAGAACTCAAGGGTGCCTAGTCAACATTTCTTTTCAACTTTGTATGAGTATTTTTTGTCAATGAAATGAGACAAGAAAAAGAAAAATGAATGAAAAGGGAAGAGATTAAAACTATTCTTCTTTGTGAATATAAGAGTAAAGAGAAATTTATAAGTAAATTCATACAAATAATAAAAGAGTTTTTGCAAGGTTGTTGGCTGAAAGGTCAACATAAAAATATCAATAGCATTTGTATTAACAAACAGAAAATGCAGTAAATTGAAAGCTTCCTTCTACAATAAGAACTAAAAATAGAACGTAGTTAAAAATAAAGTATGTGCAAAATTTTCAAGGAGAAAATTACAAAATATTGAAAGACACAAAAGAAAGCTGAATAAATGGAGAGATCGGTAATGCTCATGACTGATATGTTTTGGCTCTGTGTCCCCACTTAAATTTCACCTTGCATTGTAATCCCCAAAATCACCACGTGTCAAGGGCAGGACCAGGTGGAGGTCATTGAATCATGGGGCGGTTTCCCCTATACTGTTTTAGTGATAATGAGTGAGTATCACGAGATCTGACGGTTTTTATAAGCGTCTGGCATTTCCCCTGCTTGCACTCATTCTCTCTCCTGCCGCCCTGTGAAGAGGAGCCTTCCACCATGACTGTAAGTTTCCTGAGGCCTCCCCAGCCATTGAAACTGTGAGTCCACTAAATCTCTTTTCTTTATAAATTACCCAGTCTCAGTTGGGTGTTCATAGCAGTTCATAGCAGTGTGAGAACAAACTGCTACAATGACTAAGATAATTCAATATTGTAAAGATATCAGTTCTTCCCAAATTAACCCATATATTCAGTGTAATTCTAATCAAACTTTGTAAGAATATTTTGTGGTACTTGATTCTAAAATTAATACTAAATAGCAAATTGCGAAGAATAACAATGTGGGAGACTTGTCCTAGCAGATCTCAAAGTCTATTACACTTTAACAACGACCAGTTTGACCGATCAAAAAAACAGCCCAGAAGGAGATCCATGGGCGTATATGACAAAGGTTATCTTTAACATCAGTAGAAGGAAGGGGAGAGTATTTGATAAATTATGCTGAGACAAAAACTATTAAAAATTATGATGGGACAATTGGTTAGCCTTGTGTAAAAAAAGTACATTCTTACCTCAAACTATGCACAAATAATTCCAGGCACACTTAAGTCCTAACTATGACATGAAAATATAAAGTTTTAGATGAAAATGTAGAAAAATACTTATATAACCTTAAAGTAGGTAAGAAATTTTCTCGAAATGCCACTAAAGGAATGAAGCATGGAAGAAGAGATTGATATTTTTAGGGGATAGAAAGGGATGATGAGAAGTTGGTTAAGGAGCACAAAAATACATTTAGATAGAAGGAATAAGTTTAGTATTTGATAGTACAATAGGAAAATTATAGTTAATTTATTGTATATTTCAAAATAGCTAGAAGATAAGAATCATTCCCAAAACAAAGACAAGATAAATGTTTGAGGTGATAAATATCCTAATTACACTGATTTCATTATTACACATTGTATACAGGTATTAAAATATGACACATATCTCCCAAATATGTACAACTGTTGTATATCAATAAAGCCAAAAAAAAGAATAAATTGATATATTTGACTACATTAAAATTTAAAGTAAATGTTCAACAGAAGGTACTGTAAGAAGTTAAAAGACAAGCCACAGAATGGAAGGAGATACTTGTTATGCATATAACTAACAAAAAACTATGAAAGATAGTATGTATATAAGATCTCTTATAAATTAATGAGAAATAAGCAACCCAAAAGCAAATGGGCAAAAAAAAAGTAAAAGTTAATTCTAAGAAGAAGGAGTTAAAATGGACCATAAGCAAATGAAAAGATGTTCAAACTAGTAATTAGGGAAACACAAAATGAAAATGGAATACGATTTCACGTCCATCACATTGGCAAAACTAAACACCAAGTACTATTGGGGCTGTAGAGCAGTTGTAACTCTCATACAATGTTGAGAAGAACATACAACATTAGGGAGAACATTTTGAAGAGTACTTTCTGCAACATCTTGTAATTTTCTATTGGAGTGCTTATTTTCTATGAAGCAGCTATTCCACTTCTAGATATATCTCTTAGAAAAGCCTAACACTTGTTAATAAGTAGTTTTGTTTAAAGAAGTCTCATTAAAGTCTGCATTTTTTAAACAGAGGAGGTTAATGACCTCAATATCTATCAACAGGAGAACAAATGAATTATGATATATTCATACAGTGGTGATTACTAACCCACCAGTTTAAAAATAATTAGAGCCACATGTATCAATATGAATAAATCTCAAAAAACAGACTTTAGCAAAAAGGTACAGAATAGTTATTGTATATACCGCATATGATATGTATGTTATTTATATATTGTTAAACATTACTGTATGTAACTATAGATACATATATGTTGTAGTATTATAAAAGCTGTATGAAAATGATAAACAGAATTCTTTAAAGAGGTTTTCTCTGGTGGGGAAGGAATAGAATAGGATTGGGAAATGACATGCTGGAATTTTCAATTCTATCTGTAATGTTTTAATTCCAAACAAAGCAAAGTGTAACAATAAAGAGGCAATCAAATATTAGAAATTCTTTCAATGAGAAAAATAGACTCTGAGTAAAAGTCTTAATATGTCACACCATGGCCTGATAGGTTCACCATGTGTTCTAGATGCAAAGTAGAGCACATTTTAACTAGCATTCTAGAGCACTGATTTTCAAGTATTTTAGCAATATAGTATGCTAAACCCCAATATATAAAACAGATGACTGGTATTTTATGACTAAATATCTTTATGAAACATATATGAGTTTATGTGAAATATATATATATATATGTATATAATAGGAAGATGTAAAGAACTCCTATTATCGGTATTATCAGTAAGAAAAAGACAACTCGAAAACCAAACATCGTATGTTCTCACCAACACGTGGGAGCTAAGCTATGAGGACACAAAGGTATAAGAATGATACAATGGACTTTGAGGACTTGAGGAGAAGAGTGGGAAAGGAGAGAGGGATAGAAGACTACAAATATGGTGCAGTGTATACTGCTCGGGTGATGGGTGCACCAGGATCTCACAAATCCCCACTAAAGAAGTTACTCTTGTGTACCCCAATAACTTATGGAAAAATAAAATAATAAAAAGACAACTCAATAGATAAATTCTCAAAGAGGATACCCAAATAGCCAACAAACATATAAAAAAGTGCTTAACCTCATTAGTCAGCAGTAGGGAGATCATATATCCCAGTTTGCCTATATTAGCCCCAGATTACGTTAGTTGCTCAGTTATTAAAAGCACACCTTTCATTTTCTGTTTAAAGGATACATTTTATGGTTGCCCTAACTTACCATGGAAATATGAATTAAAATCACAGTGACAAACCACTACGCATCAGAACTAAAAAGACTAGCAGTGCCAAAGGTTGGCAATGAAGTGGCGAAGACTAACTCTTATACTCCCAACAGCAGGAAGGTGTCCCGTGGCTAATTCACGACATTTCCATAATGGAACTTATTTAGGGATGTCGGGAGAGGTGACTGTTCATGCCAAGCACACTCTATTTTTGTCTTAGGGCTTTTAGAACCCTTTACCATGAGGTCGGTCTGAGTCTCCGCTCTAAGTTATGGAGCCTTGCCTGTGGAGTGTGTTTCAAGGCTGGTTTAGCTCAGTTTGTAGTTTACAATACGTACCAGTGAGCAATTTCATTAGCAATTTAGGTCAAGCATTAATTCAGAGTAAAACTTTGCTCAAACATAATGTTCCCTAGTCCTGTTCTTATAGTCAACTGAGTTATATACACATTGATATCTAGGAAGGGGATATCAGAAGCCTTCTGGGGGCAATCTCTCTGTATTCTACCAGTTCTCTGTGAACCTCACTTTCTCAGATCAGCAGAAAGGGAAGCATCATGAAGAAGTAAAGTGTTCTTCCTTGAGGCTGGCTCCCACTTTTTCCCATTTCATTTGTCTCATCATGTCTGCCTGATCCCCATCCAGGAAGAAGAGGGGCCAAGGACTCAGAATATCTTATTCTTTGGTGTAACACTAAGACCCCTTCTTCCACAAACCAAGGGACCTAACCAATTGCCCTGGCCTCCAAAAACTCGCAGAAACCTCTGCAGTCTACTTTGAAGCCACCATAAAGAGTAAATTCAACCAAAAAGTCTTGACATCTTTCTGGTTCTTCATTCAAAGAGAAATATACTTATTTTTTCTCTTTTAAATTAAATTGCAAGAGTCAAGGTCAAGTGGTCACCTGGAATTCCCAGCTGCATTATACTTTCTTCACTTTGTGGGTTCAAGTCAGACAATGAATGTGACTTCAATTTGCATATGTGGTGAAAATGGATTTTTGTCTGACTTCATCACACTTTCATCAGACAGGAGCAGGGCCTCCGCATCTTCTGACCAGTTCCATTTTTGATTACCTTTGCTTTGATGCTTGTGGATTTATTAACCAGCTAAGTGCTCACCAGAAACTTCAGCGCTGGGAGCCCTGGGCCAAAATCACAAAGTGCTCTTTCCCTCACACAAGGCTTTTGTTTAAACATTTCTTGAACGAACCAGCCTGTCAGGTCTGATTCTGTGGGAGAACATATTTGTAAGACAAAGCAATGTTGTGGCCTACCAGGAGGCCTATGACTCGCACGGTGAATTATTCACTCCTCTGCCTTGCTGGACAGGTCAGGTCACTGGTGTTCACAGCGGGGAGCAAGACATTATTCATTACCAGGCTTGGTTTGTTGTCTTCAGTGATCCCCTTCCCCCAGTGATCCCCTGTCAGGTTTTAACAAGCCATCACATTCTTTTAAACTTCCCCTGGGCAGCAGAGGTCTCCCCTACCCCCTTTTTTCTTTTTTTCACTTGCAGAAGGTACAGTAATAGGTAGAAAGCTGGAGTGGTTGTAAATTGCAGCAGTTAATGTCAAATTGATGGAGCAGTGATCAAACGAAGTTCATAACCACACGATGCAACCTGAGAGTGGAATTCTCTCTCAGACATTTCTAATGACTGGGCTATACAATCATAAACGTGAAGACCTTTTCTGGGAGGGGCAATAGAAAGAATTCATGTGGGTGACCACAACCATGAACGAGGATGACACTGGACGTCAGTTTTGGAGAGAGCTCTGATGGTTTGGGACAACGGTACCTGAGTAAGAGCCTCAGCTCTGGGACATCTTCAAGAATTAGGATTTTTCCCAGCTCCTCCACTGGTTTTCTACCCTTGATTGCAGGGATAAGAGAGGAAAAGTTTGCTTGTCTAGAAAAGCCACAGTGGCAAATTGCTGAGCTGTCTGCCTAGCTCTAGCATCCAGCACAGTCCATTCACAAAACAGAATGAGAGACAATGTCACACAATTAACAGTGACACATTTAAAAACCAATTACGCTAGACGCTACGCAGCTGACTTCCAGCTGTCTGTTCAGCTGCAGGCAGCAGGAGGAAAAGTGATTTGATGCAGGAAAACTTTACGCTAAAAAGAATCGGAGAGTAATATCCAATATATCCCATTGTTGCCTGCATATAGAAGGGAAGGGCAGGTCTGCTCACTTTTACTTTATTATATTTCTCCCCTCTGTTGGATGTAAAAGGTATAGTGTCCTAGGGTTAACATATTCAGAATGATTTAGTTGCAGAAAAAGAGGAAATTGCAACTTGATGGCAAGAGTAACGAAATGAAATGAATGACAAAGTCCCCTAAAATAACTATCAGGGTCTCCTCCCTCCACAGTGGAGGAGCCCCTCTCTGTCTCATGCTTCTCTGACATGGTCTGCACATGCTGCTGGTTGGGTGTGAAGTTAGTATCCTAGGCAGAAGAGTGAATTGACAACTTTATATGTTTTCAAGTTGTTTAAAGTATAAACCACTTTAGCGATGGATCTTGGAATGGTTGAAATTGTGGTTTGTGAAATAAGCACTTAATTTAAGATTGGAAATACCCACAGGAATAACTGAGCCTATAAAATATGAAAATTCACATCAACCTGTAATGATAAACATATATGAAGTACACAACCTGTAAAGATAAGAGTATATCACATCAACCTGTAATGATAAAAGTATATGAAGTACACAAAAGCATGACTTGAGTTTACAAGACTTGTCCAGAGAGCACAGAAAATCACGTGCTACTGGGTAATTCAGACAAATAGCTTTGGCTTGCCCTTAATTACCTAAACAATTCAGGACTGAGCTGGGCCATTTTTAACTGAATATAATTAGGGTGGTTCCCTTTGGTTGTGTGGACCTGGGTATATAATATGTTGTATTTCAATTCCTATAATTTACAGGCATATGAGCAGGCTAAATATTGTAAAGCAGGATATGGTTCCTGGAGGATGCCAGCATCCACCCACTAATTGACCTGCTAAGAACCAGCAGCAACATGCTCTCCAGTTGTGGTCTGGAGGCTGAATTACAATAAATACCCACATGAGTGTCTTATTTAGATTTGTCCGATTAAAAAAACTCATGTACAAAGCTGATGAGACCTATGTTAGTTGCAGGTTAATACTTGCTGATTTCTTGCCGTCAACTCTCCAGTAAACAAGAACGAAGGCATGGCCAGGCGCTCTCTGTTGCTGCCAGGAAGGGAGGCTTTGAGAAGCCAGCTGCAGGGCAGGGGCATGGCCAGGAGCATTGGTCTTGGAGCCAGATAATTTGGGTTGCACTCTTTGTTTGGATACTTCTCTTCCTTTGACCCTTCGTCACTTATGGAAGCTAGACCACAGTTTTCTCATCTGCAAAATAGAGGCAATGATGTGGTTCTCACAGATGGTTGTGAGATACAAGGCGGCAAGGTTTGAGACTGCTCCTTATAATTAAGTCGTTGGCATAGAGGAAAAGACTGGTGTTTGCAATCCCTTTACTAGGCAGCATCTTGGTGGGAATTCTGAGAAAGGACCCAGTGAGCCTATGGCCAGTCTCCTCCAACTTGGGATGGTGTCTAGATTCCAAACAAAGAGCCAGTGGGCAGCAGAAAAGCAAAGCACTGGTTTCTGACTGAGGGGCCATTGGGCCCCCCGTGGGAGACAGATCTTTAATAATGTTTTTAATGACAGTTCCTTTCCAATGTGGGGGAAGTCTGTACTGAGAGAAACTCGATGCCTCTGGCCTCGGGCGGCAGAATTACCATGTATCTTTTAATCTCAAGGAATAAGGAGCTTTAGTTCACAACAACCCTGTGCATCTTGTCTAGGCCTCCTGCTACACTGTGTTCAGGTAATCACATCAAATGGAGAAATCAGATAGTTTCTGGCTGATTCAAAATGTCCTGGCTGAGAGGCAGAGGAGATGTCAACAGAGATTTCAGGCTCATGGAAAAACGCTCAGGTCCAGCTTCATCTGCTTGTTCCATTCTAATCAGAGAGGTCCTCTGTGGGTCGTAAGACAAGAAACTAGGGGTTTAAAGGTCCCTCAGGAACCAGGGACCAAAATCTGGATCTGAGGAGCAAAATGCTTAAACAAGCTCTGTCTGAGGAGTGAAGGTTAAATGACCCCAGGAATGGGCCAGCTCTTTCTTAAGCAACTTCCTTGGTTTGGGGCCAGAAGGCCTGATGCCCAGTGTCTGTGAATGCACAGGATTGCAGGCGGAGTGCAGCACTTGAGCACCTTCTGTGCTTTTCAGCTCAGCCTTGGAGCAGTTTTATTCCATAAATATTATTATATTTTATATTATATATCATATATAAGTGTATTATAAAAGGCAAAATTGTGACCTGTTGGGTCTTGGACTCAGAACCCATGCTATGGAAAAAGGGACTTCACCCAGTAATAAAATGCTTTGGGATTAGTCCCATCAAAAAGATAAAAATCTTAAATTGCAAGCATCATAAGAGATCTAACTTTATTTAATCGTGGACACGTTTCCTGCTCTAACTTTTTAAAGATGGTCTGCATTTGAAAAGAATTAGGACAATCCTGTATCTTTGATCAACTTGAAAGTCTCTTTAGGGGAAGATATTTAACACTCTGGTTTTTAAACAGAAATCTAAATATGCATCAGCTAATAGTTTCCTACATTAAGCAGTATCAACTTTGCCATTTCATGACATCCAAATGAATAGGAGACCTGTTTTATGCTTAAAAGTGACTATCTGTGAACTAAACACACTTGACTGAGAGGTTTTTATGTGTCATTATTTTTGACACAGCTTGTCATTAGTTTTAACTTTGACCTGATTGCAATGAGGAATTTGGTTGTGCAAGCTTGCCTATTGTTTATCTATACTCAGACTTAATTATTGCTTCCCAGGTCAGTCATCACCATTTTAAGTGGAAAGAAATGGCTTTAACCCTTGGGATGATTCCCACAGAGTTTATTTTGTGTACTTGGATCATGAGGTCAGATGCATAGAAAAAGTGGTCACAGTACTCCTGGGGTGGGGGTGGGGTGAAGTGCAGTCCAGCTACTTGGTGGAGGAGAAAAGTGCGAGGCTTTCTCTCTTGTAGAATCACCTTAGTGGAGATGCGTGAGTCAAAAACTAAGGGGCAGAAGAACGGCCATTGTATGGTGTCTCAGAAGAGTCCTTCTTTCCGTTTCCCCACTATAAAGCTTTTTTTTTTTTTTTTTTTAATTTTCACCATTAAATTCCTTACAGTGGGAGGCACTATTGATACGATGGGCAGGGTAATTTTTCTCTTGTGTCTAATTCCTGGCTATTGCAGGATGTTTAGCATCTCTGACTTTCTTCCCCCAATTATTTTGGCAACAACAATGTCTCCAGAATGTTCAAAATTTACTAAACACATTAACCTGGTTAGTAGAGAACAAAGCATGACTCAGATGAGAAGGCCAGAGAAATTTTCTTGGGAAAAGAGAAGAGAGGGAAGCTTCAGATTCTGCTATAGATCATGTCAAGTGGTAGAGGTGCTAAAAATTTCTGTGGAGGAGCACCAGCAATGAACCTTGCCTACTAGAATTTAGCTGAATGTGTCCCTTGTTAGGTGGGGAGGGGGGAAGGAATAACATTTCTTGAGTAACTACTATGTGCCAGCAATTTGTAGTAATTATCCAACCTACTCATCATTATTCTGTGAATTAGGTATAATTATTCAACTTTCATATAAGGAACTTAGGGCTGACAGTGACAAAGTTGGGATAGGAATCCCTGACTGCTAAAACTGAAGCTGTCTCTCTTTAAAGATTTGAACTCATTATGAAACTTCCTCTGCATTCTAAGTTCAATGTTTTTCTTGTCATCCTGGGTGTTCAAGATCATATAAACAGATAAGGAAACTAGGGTTCTGTTACTTAACTTGAACAACTTACCTCTACCATGAACCTGGTAGAAGATGCCAATCAGAGCTGGGCCTGCTTAAGTGCTTGCAGCTACAATTACTGTATAATTCCTGACAACACTAGGCCTTGCTTTATACCGTGATGGCCATCATTTCCTTCTCAAAACTGACCCGTGCAGAGTGACTTGATAAGATATTCATGATACCATGATGGGCTGGAACTTGGGTCTGGGGTTCAGTGGCAGAGACTGGACAGGTGTTAGATAAACCTGTTTCCCTTTGCACCAGGACATACGACTAGACTACATTCCTCCGTTCCTTGTGGTTAGGAGTAGTCATAAACTAGATTTTGGCAAATGGAATGTGACTGAAAGTTATGTACATCACTTCCAGGCCTGGCCTATAAAATCCTCCCTGGGGATCCTCCATCATCCTTCCTCCCTGTCTGCTGGATAAATTTTGGCACCAAATGACCTTGAAAACCATGTGTTGTATGTGCCAGAGCCTTTATCACCCTGGGTCCCTCTGAAGCAAACTCCCTTTTTCAGACCCTCCCACTGTTGATTGGATTTTATACACTGGGTTCAGCTCACTAGTGTGCTTAAATTAACTATCTGGCTTTCACTGGCTGGCAAGAGCTGACTGTTAAATTTGCAGGAATTGTGTAAGCCAGTTGACATCAAGTTGATAGCTTGGAATCAGTGTGATTGGAGCACTTACAATACAGAGGTTGGCAAGTGCTATACATCAGGGCTTTTATTGCAGAGAGTCATTTTACCAGCACACCACTGGTTAAGCCACTGAAAAGTATTATTATGTAGGTAGCATTATCATAATTTATATTCTGTGACACAAAGTGTTGTTCTGCCTTAAGACAACCTAAAAGGTGTGAAATTGGCTTAGAGGTTGGTGGAAGGTGGCAAGAGGTGGGATTTGAGGAAATGAATGTCAGAGACAGGAAAAACAGGAGCATGTTATGCAGTGACAAGACAATTGGTAAAACGTTGTCTGTGATAACTTGGAAGGCAATGTGCCCATGTAGCCCATACCTCTAGGGGAGATGGTTGGAAAACAGAATGGTAGTAGTGTGTATTGGCTATTAGTAGCTGAAGTTAAAAAGTATTAGAAAATAAGAGATAAAACCCAGGCAAACACTGACTTGTTTATAAATAGAAATAAAGAGGAATAGCATCCAGAAATAAAGGACTTGTAAAATTTTAAAAAGTTTACTACTTTAAGACCCCAAATAGTAGGAAATAAGACAGGAATAACTTTTATATAACAAAGCCTCCATTAAAAAGTAAATCTATACTCAGGTTTTTTTTTTTCAATCATCACAAATACTTTTAAGATGTGAAGTGTTTGAATGCATTTAGATT